>NC_000006.12:157343517-157495032 GCF_000001405.40 Homo sapiens | reverse complement strand
CCCATGTAGTGGCATAACACAGCTGTCAAGAAAAGCTGAGATACCAAATCTAAGCTACATGATTTCTAGGGAACCATGGGAGAGGAAAACGCAGTCTTTAGGGGTTGAGACAAGAAGAGACTTTCAAGGTATCGATGAGCATTATTTGCCTGTTGGTTTGACTGTCCCTGGCACTTTTTAAATGTAGACTATGAATTCAGGATATGAAACGGATTTGGAATTATGCATTCAGGAAATGAAATGGTTTTGAGACCTTAGAGCCCATAAAATGCAATTTATCATTGTCTCCCTTTGTATTTATTGGATTTTTAAAAACTTATTTCCTTGTAAGCTTCCTTAATGAAACAAAGTGACCTGCACTGGAACAAAAGATTTTAAAAGAATGGGTGCTCTCAAAGTGGCCATGATCTACAAGGAAAGTAAGTCATGTCCCCCTTTATAAAAATCTGCTCACAGTCCTCGGCATCTTGCATAATTTGGAAAGAGCTTCCAGAGCCCTGCAGTCCAGGCCACATGTTGTTTCCTGGCTGCCCTTTCTAAACCTCAGATTCACCATCTTTCAAGTGGAAATCAGAACAAATGCCCTGTCTACCTCTCCAGACCAGAGATCATTACTATCCCGCCATTTGGATGTCTAGGCAGAAAGCATGCAGAGCCCGCAGGGAGGGTGGTGGCAGAGAAGAGTGTCAGAGGGTGCAGGGGAAGGTCGGAGGAGGGACAGGCATCCAAGGACGGCTGATCTCCCATCTTTGTGTCAAACAGTTCCCAGGGAGGGCCCAGCACTTCACAGTCAACTGCATGTTAGTGACATCCCAGGGGCTCTGGCCTCAGCATTTCAGAATGTAGGGACTTTAAAGGGAACTCAGAGGTGATCAAGTCCAACCCGCTCATTTTAGAGTTGAAGCAATAAAGGCTTAAGCTGAGGAAGCAAAATGGCTAAGGTTGCTCAAAAGCCAGAGCCAAGCCAGGGCCCTGCAGGGCTCCTGCGGGGAGGACCACTCTTCTTTACAAACAAGGGTACCCCAAGCCACATAAAGCCCCACTCCTTGCTTCCAGCTCTTGTCAGGCATTAAAGGTTTGATATCCAGGTGTGGCCTTGAGCTGAGCTGACAATTAGAGCTGAGGACAAGCTTGAATAAGAGGTGCCATGGGAGCGGCAGAGGGACACAGTGACCCTGGGCAAGAACCAGTCCCCCAATGCTCCACAGCCAAGGGCGGGGATTGTGTCACCTGTGTGTGCCGGCCTACTTCCCAGACAGGACGGCGGACCTGGGTGCGCAGACACGAAGCGGGCACTTCCCAGGAAAAGCTTCTGCACCCCAAAATGCCTGAGACCCTCAGGACAGCATCGCTGCTTTGGAAGTTCCAGGGCTGTGCCCACACAGCACCCATCCTGATGGTGTCCATCCCACTGTCACGGATGTGGCTCATGCTTTTCTGGGTCACCTCTCACAGCAGTGGGCCTGTGGGTTGGGAGGGCTCCCCTATTGTTGAATGGTTTCCCAGGAAATTCGTCTGACTGGCATGCTTCTGGCTTCAGGGGATTTGCAAACACTCTGCTGCCAGGAGAGGCCATCACTGAAGCTCCTGGAGGAAGGCTCCCTCTGTGTGTCCGGCCTCTGCAGAGCCCTCACCAACAGGGCTGACTTCTTTCCCCTCTCCGCCTGGAGCCCGGGCCTGTGCCAGCCCTCAGACCGTCCCGCTCGCCCTTGCGGTGGCTGGTGTTTATCTGCCTGCAGACAGGCCTTCATCACAAGGTCACGGGTCCCCAACTTGCCTTTCCGCCTCCCCCTTTCATCCTTGACTCCTCTCTTCCTGCGCCCACATCCAATCCATCAGCTCTTCCCTAGACCACATCTCATGTCCTGCCACTTCTGTACCTACAATGACACAGCCTGGTCCCAGTGCCACCATCTTTGCCTGGATCATTGCAGTAGCACCTCAGTCTCCTTGCTTCTGCCTTTCAAGTGCCAGGGCAAACTTTTCAAACCTAAAAGGTGACTCCCCTGCCTCAAACCCTCCAGAGGCTTCCCACCCCATACTGACCTCCAGGACCCTCCCCTGCTGTAATATCTTATCTCCTTGTATCCTTCCCTCCCTGCCTTCCCTTCCCACAGCCTTTCTTGCTGTTCCAAGAACTAGCCAGGTCTGTGCTCCCAGGGCGCGCCTTGCCTGGAATGTCTTATGCAAAGCACCCCTCCTCCCATCTGGGTCCCCACTCACGCCTGTCTCTTCTAAAATCACCCTGCTCCTGGCCACTCCCAAGCACCTCACCTCCTGGTCTTCCCCTCCCGGCTCTCAGCACCTACCTGTCCCATGGTAAAGTGATTTCTTCATGCCCTAGATTGTAAACTGCATGAGGCCAGGGGCTTTGCTTAGTTCACTGCAATAGTCCCAGCAGGTAGAACACAGCCTTCCGCACAAGACACTCAGCAAATGGATTGAATGGACAAGAAACAGCGCCTCCTCTTCTGTGTCTAATGCCTGGCGCACAAAAGAGCAGGAGTCTGCCCCCAAGGCAGAATCATTCCCCAATTCTGGAACTGGCTGTGCTGCTGATCAGGGAGCCTCCGCCTTCCCGCTTTCCCGCTTTCCCGCTTTGCCGGTTTCCCACTTTCCTGATTTCCGGTGGTGGCTGAAGGGGAAGGGCAGAGAGCAGGCCGGGCAGGCAGCGAAATGCCCTGAGGTCTTTGGAGTAAAGAAGGGCAAGGTGGCTGGAACTTAGCGAGTTGAGGTGGTGCAGGACAAGGCTGGGGAGGAGGTCAGTGGGGTTCTTGGCAGGACGGTGACTCCAGAGTGCACAGGGAGACTACAGTGGCTGGGGGGCGGGGGCGGAGGGGGGATGTTGAGGGTCAAGGCTCAGGTGGCAGAGAAGCCAAGGGAAAAGGCCGGGTTTCCTCCCCGGTGAGAGGGGACAGTGACAGCACCTGCCTGGAGGGCTGCTGGATGGAGCACCTGAGGTGCCGCAACCAACACCGGCAACTGGTGCTGTGATGAAGGCGAGGCAGTGTTCTGGCGGGGAGCCCCGGCTTCCCTGGCCGGCCTGTGGTAGGGACCAGGAAGTGGCGCGGTTACTCAACAGGTGAGCTCTGTGCGCTTCTGAAAATGGCAAATCCGCACAAGACGTAATTCGACAATCAAAAGAATTAATCCTTAGGATTACGCTTGCATCGCTGGCCACTCACAGACTGTCATTACCATCACTCTCAGCCTTCCCAGGCCCATTCCAAAGCTTTTACCTGCCAGTTTATGAGCCAGAGCTGTTTAATCAGGTGAGAGCCAGAGTCACTTGTCAATAAGGCGTCCTGTTAGTGAGACTCAAGCCAGAGCCAAATGACGGCCCCAGGCCTGGGGACTCCCAGCCAAAGCAGCTGATTTGAGCCTTTGCTTCTGAGTTTAACAAATTAAATTTTAATGTAGAAATTCACATTCAGCTCATTCACAGAAGTTGATAAATAAAGAAGAAGAAACCGATATAATCTCATTATAAAAGTATTCATCAAGTCCTACAGTTTTTCCATTTACAAAGTCTCAAATTCATCTCCTTTCTTTTCATGTCCAGCAACACTAACCTAGCCCAATCAATCATTCCATAAATATTTATGGCATGCCCACTATACGCAAAGCAGTGTGCTCTGGGGACCACAGAATCAATGTAGTTCCTGCCTTTGGCTCTAAACGAACACAGAAAAAGCTCAGAACGTGGCCTCATCCATCCTCAGCAAAAGACAAAGCCTCACAGAAGAAAAGGGAAAGGGAAAGGATAGGTGTTGAGCACGTCTGTGTACCCAGACCAGCCGAACATACCTCTCCCCTTCGAATAAGACTGTCTACCCTGCAGGGCGGCCGCATACCCTAAATGCGACCCACAGAACGAGGGGACAAACGGGGGCAAGAAGGGTACTGTCTGACGCAGTCAGAAGCACTGGTATTGAGGATGAGGTGCAGTGCGGGAAACGGCACCTTGCCCATGCCAGCCAGTGACAGGCATCTCAGGCCCTCCGGGCACATTTGAGCCACCCTGCCCTCCTCCCCCTTCCCTCCCTAATACCTCTCCTCTGCGCCCCCACTCCCTGCTTTGATTCTCTTATATGCAAAATAGGGATACTTATCTTGCAACATTATTTTAATAGTTAAATAAGATAACTGTTGCAGAGCTCCCTCCAAAGTGCCTGGTATTGATAGGCATTCAACAACTGGCAGAACAATAGCTGCGCCATTAGTCTTATCACTACTGCCCTGAGATCTGCTGGCCCTCCCTCTGTGGCTTCATTCATTCCCTTTCCTGCCCTCCCCGCTTCTTCACCCACTGGCCTTACGCTCCTTGTCTTCTCTACAAGGCAATAATGACACTTCCTTCAAAGTTCAAGTCAAGACTCAACTTCTCCAAGAGACCTTCCTTGACTTCATCCTTGTGCCAGAAATTCTCCTGTGTATTCGTGCTTTCAGCATCTCATACACAATTCATGTTACATTATGCTTAATTATAGGTTGCCTTAAGAATTTTCTAGATAATTACAAGTGATAATTAGTTGACGGTTTCATGTAGATATACCTTGCCTCCCTAATTAGAGTAAAAGCTTTTCAAGGCCAAGGATCACATCTGCGCTTCTTCATTGCCTGCTGACCCGGTGGCTTGAGGAGTGTGTGCATCCGTATGTGGAATACATGCTGGCTTAATTACTTTTCAAATATTAAGCAGATAAAATTACCCAAGTGATTCTCTTAATTCAGATTCAAGCATTTAAAACAGAATTGGAAAACCGTGAATGAACAACGCTTATATCTGTTTAGAGACACCCACAGTAATTTGTGAGACCCTTATAATTTTTCACGCATTCTCTTCCTCTGCCCATAAAAGACCTGTTCCCCCCTCGCCCAACCAGCTTCCCCATTCCGGTAAATGGCATGAGCGTCCACCGTGTTTCTCTATCTAGAAACTGAGGGGGGTCACCCTTGATCTCTCCCTTTCTCCCACTCCACCATCCCATCCCACCAACATCAGAAGATTCCACCTCCCAGGTCTGTCCACATCCCTCATTTCCCCATGACTGTCCTCTCTCTCCAGTTACGGTAGCAGTCCCTAACTTGTCTCCTTCTGCCACTCTTCCCAGCTAATCCTTTCTTCTCTCAGCAGCCAGAGCGAGCTTCTAATGCCACACACCCAATCTTCCCCACTCCCATAGCAGTGAGCCATGATCACGCCACTGCACTCCAGCCTGGGTGACAGAGTGAGACCCTGTCTCAAACAAACACAAACCCTGCAGTAGCTTCCCCGCATCCTGGGAGGAAAACCCAGGTTTCTCCCCTCCCCACTGCTGTAAGAGGCCACGCATTGCGGTTCTTATCTCAGACATCTGCAGATCTGCCACACGGTGTGCCTGGTGGAGAGCGGCTGGGTCACATCTTGGGTTCTAAACATATCTAATTCAGCCTCTCCCTATGAATAACCACCACCCTCCAATTCAGAATCGAGACTGCACCTACACCCAGTGCCTCAACAAAGAGCATTCTAAAATTTAAAACTTCTAAGAAATGAGAACAACGTTTTTTAAACATTCAATAAAAACAACAATAAAAACATTCAAAAAAAAAAACAACTGAAAGAATAAAAAGGTGTTTTAAAAAACCTGTCCATTTTTCTTGCAGATTTCAAAACCAACACTTCTTGTCGGGATTTTCTCTGGTGCAGCATAAATGCTACTACAACGTTTACGAAGGAAGTGATTGCGCATGAGTTTGTTCTATGTATCGGGTTCACATTACAATTTAAGCCTCCAGTAATGTTTTCATTTTCTAAAAATTTCAATTCTAAATATTCCTATGTGAGAAAAGTGGGAATAAAACTCAAATGAGCAAGCTGAGATTCCCTGTGAGTTTTCAGGAATAGTTGTTAATCGGATGAGGCAGGTTGCTTACACCCTCGATTTGCAAACATCTTTATTCCAGACAGATCTGCTGATGGAAGCCCGTTTACTGGTACAAAACACCATAAAGCCGCTACAGTAAACAAACCGCACAGCATCAGGTTATCTTGTAAATCCATTAAAAACAGAGTAACAACTCTTCCTTGTGCTCACGAAATACACATACTCAATTAATCTATGGAAATTAAATGGGTGGCATGATTGCTGCAGACACACCAGCGACACTAAGGCACCTCCACACCGCGGCTCAGAATGCAAACTCCTGGGAAGGGGGGCGGGGTGCCCTGCGCCTGGCAGATAAGCCCATTCATGCAAACGTGTATGCTCTTCTTAAAGACACGTCTGTGAGGTCCAATCAGCCCTACAGACAGCAGTGCTCTAACCTGCCTAAAGACAGACAAATACTAAACTGGTAGTGAGTACTGATAGGACATTTTATGAACCAGCGACCCTTGAGGGAAAGAGGGCTACAAGGAAAATGCAATTCTCCTCTGCAAAGCCAGGTACACTTTGCAATGAAAGAAGCCTTGTGGCCATCTGAGATTTAAAAATTAAGCTCTAAAGTACCCCTAAAAAGGGTATGCTCTTCAGACATCTTGAGTTTCAGATTAAATTTTCTGACTGTCCCTATAGGATGATGGTGCCTGTTAAACAGACACACCCTCTCCTAGAAGCAACGCAAATTGAGGGTTGTTTGGACCACAGGGCGAGTGGATTTCAGATGCAAGGACTCCCAAAGAGAATGCCCTGAAATCCTCGATTGAGTTCAAGTCGGGGAGAAACCCGGCTCCGTGGGCTCCCTGCCAGGAGATTCCCAGGCCTGGAGTCTGATCACAGTGGAGTAGAGAAGATCAGCCATTTTCTCCAAACCAAACTTCCTTTCATACCCGCCTCCCACTACAATTAAGAAGCAAGTTGGTGCCAAATGCCAGGCAAGGTCTGGCTGGAAAGAAGTGGGTGCTGCCTCTGGGAAGGGAGGCCTCCCGGAATGTGGGTGGGGTTGCGTGGTGGGTACGGGATGCCTTCTCTCTGGGAGGGATGGCTTGGATTCTCAGGTCCCACCTGGGCTGCATGTGAGTAGAAACCACTCCTGAGAAAGAGTCCACAGCCATCAGGCAGCAGAGGGGATGATCTCCAGCACATGGCTCCCAGTCCAGGGCATCTTGGAGCTGGGGAGGGGTGGGGGCCTCCTGTGAGAGCCTCTGAGACCTGGAAGGGGCTGGAGAAAGAGCAGCTCCGGGGGACCTGCCTGGATGGGAGAGGGCACAGCAGGAAAACAACACCTTGGCTGCCAGTCATGAGGCTGCCGAGGCTGCCAGTCTGGGTCCTGACATCTCCCTTTAGCTCTTGCCTCTGCCTAATAATAATAGTACTAAAAATAACAACGACAATCATGAGATTTAGAAAAGCTCTGATTCCAACCATGCATGAATCCTTGTGCTGCTGGAAGGCAGTATGCATAGAGGTTAAGTGCTCTGACCTGGGGCTTCATCCCAGTTCCGCCATGCACAGACTGTATGGCCTTAGGCCAGTCAGCGTCTGTACATGAAGGATATTAATCATTTCTACTTAAGAGGGTTGTCATGAGGATTAAATGGCATAATGCTCACCAAGGGCATGTAGTGAAGGTTTAGTAACTACTACAAGTTGATATCACTTTTTTCTTTATTTTGGATTTTCTTTAGTCCTTACAGGTTTGCAAAGAAATAGTAGACAGAAGACCAGGTCAGTGAGACTCCAAATGCCACCCAGGCCCTCACTAGGACCGCGCTGGAACTGAGTCACCCAGCAGAATGGATCAGCTGACCTGCACCTGGTCTCATTTTCCCTTCAACCTCTCTACCCAACTGCATCTCCCTCCTGCCTGAAATCCTTCTGAGATCAGCCCCATGTCCTCCAGGATGATACTCACACTCCCGGCAAGGTGGCCAGGGCCGGGGTCAAAGGGGTTCTTCTACATCCCCCAGCCTTAGGGACAGCGTGGGGAGACAGAGAGGAAGAGCTTAAGGTTTGGTGTCACAAAGACCCAAGTTCAAAGTTTGCTCTTTTAATTATTACTTATGTGTCCAGTAGTTGCTGAATCTTTCTATGTTTCAGCATCTTCACTTGCAAAAGTGCTGCTAACACCTACCAATGCTGTAGCTGGGCTCAGGCCTGCAGGCAACAGCAGCCACTGCCATAGGTGCCTCCCCAGCCCACCTCCTGCATCCTCCTGCGTCTCCTCACCTCATATGAGGCCCAGTTCTCAGCTCACCACACTTCCTTCTGTTTTCTTCCCTTTACACATCCTGTTCTCTGGGTCTCACCCATCCTTGCCACGCCTGCCCTGCCTTCCTTCTCTGCCTGGTTAAATCATATTTCTCTTTGACACTTCCCTTCCAGCACGACCTCCTCTGGGAAGGGCTCTTCCCTCGGGCTCCCTGTGAGCTCCTGCAGCATCGTCAGGCTTCCTCTGCCACCCTGTTCACAGGTCTGTTCTGATTCTCTCTCTCCCTGTCTCAGCATCTCCTATCTCTGGACCCCCAGCCCTAGCACTTGGTAGGTGCTCAATATGTGCTCATGGAAGTGAGAATGGAAATATCTATATAAATGATTCAAGATCTAACTTGGACAATTAAAAACATACACACAGAAGTGAGAATTCGAATTTTAGAATTTCATAGCTAGAAAGAATATTCACATTTGTCTTATCCATTGCTTCATTTTATGTGAAGAGGTGTCAGCCAGAAATTTGTCGACTGCCCAAGATAATACAGGTAGGAGATGCTGTGCTTGGCAAGTTTAACGGAATTGAAATACTGAAGCCATGGCTGAGTGTCTACCATACGGCCAAGTTCACAGGTACCGGTGTAGTGACGCGATTGGATATACCAGCAGGCCGACTCCCTTACATATGGGAGAGCCTTGTTTCTCTTAGCAGTCACCAAGAACACACCTAGAGACTGTCATACAGAGGCCCAGGGCAACTCACTGAACTAATAGCATGGAATGATAAACACCACGGAATAGAACTAACACAGTCACCTCATTGCCTAAGTGCAAAATGGAAAAAAACAAGGATACCAGCTTTAGAAACATTCTTTCTTTTGAGGGGGCACCGAGTTTCACTCTGTCACCCAGGGTGGAGTGCAGTGGCCTGATCTCGGCTCACTGCAACCTCCACTTCCTGGGTTCAAGCAATTCTCCAGCCTCAGCCTCCCGAGTAGCTGGGATTACAGGCACGTGCTACCACACCCAGCTAATATTTTTGTATTTTTAGTGGAGACGGAGTTTCACCATGTTGGCCAGGCTGGTGTTGAATTCCTGACCTCAAGTGATCCACCCGCCTTGGCCTCCCGAAGTGCTGGGATTACAGACATGAGCCACTGCACCCGGCCTTAGAAGCATTCTTTATAGATTTTTTTCCCTTCAAAAAAAAAAAAAAATCAGAAATAGGGGAGATACAAGGGTAGGTTTTAAATTATATAATTTTTAAAAAGATTTAGCCTTTTAAGAGTCAGTCACTGGGGCTCTGCCCATCTCTGCCAGAAATGCAAAATCAATGTGGGAAAAGTGGGACAGGGAGAAAAACCATAAAGCCAGAAGAAAAATGAAAACAAAAATCTAACCACATAAACACATGGGAAAAATCTAAAGAAATCACGTTTGGGCTAAGACTCAGAAAGGAAATTTTTACATACAAAGAAAGATACCAGCAGGATGAGAGAAATCACATTCCAAACTGTCTTGCTCCTATACTTCCTCGTGGAGACCTTTCCTCCAACAAAACTGCCTCCCAGGGGTGGATCCCGGGTGTGTGCAGAGGATGAAGCCTCCCATGTGCACGAAGCTCAGTCCCTGCTGCAGTACAGGGCACCACAGGCACCCCCAGGCCCAAACCTCCCAATGCTGTTGTACAAGTTCACGAGTGATCAGGCTCAGGGCCTCAGGTTCATGTCTAGGTCCAAGAGTCTATAATTCCAACATCTACCTAATTTTATTTTATTTTATTTATTTTTATTGGTTTTTTGAGACAGAGTCTTGCTCTGTTGCCCAGGCTGGAGTGCGGTGGCGCGATCTCGTCTCATGTCAACCTCTGCCTCCCAGGTTCAAGCGCTTCTCCTGCCTCAGCCTCCCGAGTAGCTGGACTATAGGCACGTGCCATCACATCCGGCTAATTTTTGTATTTTTAGTAGAGATGGGGTTTCACCATGTTGGCCAGGCTGGTCGCTATTATTTTTAAATAAACCAAATCTTCTCACTTCTATCAGCTTCACTATCCGGAATTGTAATTTAGTAGGCAGTTTTCAAAGGGAGGGCTTCTGGTCATGGTTTTCTTCAATTGTGTTTGCACCCCAGATCCCTTGGGTGCCTTATTTTTATTTTTATTTTTTTAAGAAAAACTTACCATTTATTACCTTACTGTAAATCACAAAAATCGCCCATGGTAATTGCAGTGTAAATGCTGGAAAAATTTTTGATTGCCCGAAAGGATTATTTCTTTGTAAAATATTAGAGGAAAAACTGGTTTTTTTTCCCCTAGAAAATTTTCTAATAAAAATGAAGAATTTTTTTTTCTTTTAACTTTTATTTAAGGTTCAGGGGTACGTATGCAGATTTGTTATATACCTCTATTTGTGTGTGTATATATAAATATATGTATATATACACATATACATATATATGTATATATACGTATATATATGTATATGTGTATACATATATATGTATATATACGTATATATGTGTGTATATATACGTATATATGTGTGTATATATACGTATAATGTATATATACGTATATATATGTGTATATATATGTATATATATATACACATATATATATACGTATATATACATATATATATAAATAACCTCGTGTCATGCGAGTTTGGTACACAGATTATTTTGTCACCCAGGTACTACGCCTAGTACCCAATAGGCATTTTTTTCTGATCCTCTCCCTCCCCGCACCCCCTACCCTCAAGAAGGCCCCAGTGTCTATTGTTCCCCTCTTTGTGTCTGTGTGTTCTCATTGTTTAGCTCCCACTTATAAGTTAAAACATGAGGTATTCGGTTTTCTGTTCCTGTGTTAGTTTGCTTAGGATAATGGCCTCCAGCTCCATCCATGTTGATGCAAAGGACATATTGTTCTTTTTTGTGGCTGCATAGTATTCCATGGTGTTTACGTACTACATTTTCTTTATCTAGTCTACCCCTGATGGGCATGTAGGTTGACTCCATGTCTATTTTTAACTACACAGAAAGATTTGAGATCACAAATAGAAATCAAAAGAGCACTAAGTCATGCATCTTAAAGTTCCCCAAAACAGAGAAGTCTGGCTTCCTCATGTAGCAAGCGTGTGCACACCTACCCATGTGCACACATACAACATGGAAGGTCCACGGATGCAAAGGGGCTTTACCCACCGTCAAACCTCCTGAGCCACTTCTATGTAATTTCGACAGCAACAATAAAAATTGCCCTTCTAGCAGAGGGACTCTAGGAATTAGCTGGTAATAATCATGAAATGGTTTAAAGAGCTGCACTATGTCTCAGCAAGGCCCATCATCATCATCATTACTGTGAGCCTAAGTTCACTTTGCCATTTTCCCACTGTGATTTTATGTAAAAGAAAGCACATCACCAGTTCAGGGGGAAAAACATATTTCATCCCATTTTAAAGGTATTTCTCTTATGAAGATGAGCCTCACGGACAAATAATGCACTGCCCAAGGCTCCTAGTCAGACACTGTGCATCAACGCTGCCGTTTTGTAAGGCAGAACAATCTTTTGCAAAAAACAAGACCAGCATGAATTGCATACAGAGTGTCAGCAGGGAGAAAAACCAATATTTCTAAAGAATGAGTTGATTAAAGAAGGGCTGAGATAGCAGGGTTTACTTTGCTTCTGTGCAACAACACACTGTATTTGATATACCCTGCAAGAGAATCACATCAAAATGCTGCCCAGAGAGAAAAATATGATTAAAAATGTAATCAGCATGCTTATAGCTACCAGGTCCAGGTCTTTCACTGGCATGCTATCACATCTTGCCTGGATTCACTCTAAAATTATTTTGAAGGCCAGGCCTGGTGGCTCACACCTGTAATCCCAGCACTTTGGGATGCCAAGGTGGGCAGATCACGAGGTCAGGAGTTCAAGACCAGCTTGGCCAACATGGTGAAATCCCCATCTCTACCAAAAATACAAAAATTAGCCAGGCTTGGTGGAGCATGCCTGTAATCCCAGCTACTCGGGAGGCTGAGGCAGGAGAATCACTTGAACTCGGGAGGCAGAGGTTGCAGTGAGCTGAGTTCATGCCATTGTACTCCAGCCTGGGTGACAGAGCAAGACTCCATCTCAAAAAAAAAAAAAAATGATTTTGACATTCTAAAACCATTCGGTGTCATCCAATTCAGACTCGAGAAGACAGCGAAATGTTCACACTGAGAGCAACAATTCAGACCAATTAAGCTGGGGCCTGGACAGGCTGTGAAGACAGTGTTGATCAGCTTGAAAGTAAGGTAGATTATTTAAGGGAGAAATAGCAAATGAAATATAGACGTTGGAGCCAGGCGTGGTGGCTCATGCCTGTAATCCCAGCACTTTCGGAGGCCAAGGTGGGCGGATCACCTGAGGTCAGGAGTTCGAGACCACCCTGGCCACCATGGTGAAACCCCGGTCTCTACTAAAAAAAAAAAATTAGCCAAGGATGATGGCACGTGCCTGTAATCCCAGCTACTTGGAAGGCTGAGGCAGGAGAATCACTTGAACATGGGAGGCAGAGTGAGCCGAGATCGTGCCACTGCACTCCAGCCTGGGAAACAGAGCAAGACTCCATCTCAAAAAAAAAAAAAAAAAAGAAAAGAAAAGAAATATAGACGTTAGGTGTCCTCACTTTACTACAGGCATTCAAACCAAACATCTCCAACTGGCTACTATCAGAGGCCAAGTTTATATTTTGAAACAATTTCCCAGAAAACCGCAACTCTCAGAACATCAAGAAGATCGTGCACTTTTTTTGCAAGCTTTCTTTCTGTGAAGTAGTTTCAGTGGGAATGTCCCATGGAAAGAACTGATCAAGTTATGAAAAAAAAAGTTTGCCTTGCTTAATCAACAATTGCGATGTACTCTCTGAGCTCAAGTCTTCTCTGCCCCACCCTCTGAACTTGGCCCCACTCTTGAACCAGGAAAGCTATCTTCAGGACCCAGCCATGCACCTCTAGTTGCTTATAATCTAATAAGAGAAGTAAGATAGATGGATAATATGTAGGTAGGTAGGTAGGTAGACAGATAGATAGATAGAAAGAAACAATTCTAAGCATCGGTGCTATCGAGCTTTAGGAATGGTGCAAAAAATAGGGGCTAAAGTAATATCAAGAATGAGTCCCCTTCACTCATTCCCAACTGGGGTAGGCACTGAGGACTTCCTGGAAGAGGTGACGTTTGTGTTAGGTATAATTACTACAGGTAAATTTCTACAGGTGGAAGTGGTAGGGTTTTGGCAGGAAGGGGAAAAGGCAAGTAATGGAGGAAGTGATTCTAGGTGCAGGAACAATTTGAACTAAGGTGGGAAGGGTCCAGGGCTGCACAGAGCAGTAATGAGAACAGCTTGTCTGAATCAGAGGGTCGGTGGGAGTGCAGGAGATCAGGCCAGCAAGGCAGATGGGGCCTCCTCTTGACCAGCACCTCACTGTACAACCAGTCGCATCACCTCACTGTACAACCAGTCGCATCACATGCGGAAATGATTCACTCATAACGGCTCAACCTCTCTCCAATTAACTGTCCATTTTCTGTGTAGACTTCCAAAAAAGGAAAAATACGATAAAAACACCACCTTAGCAGACATAAGTTGCTCATCTACAGAAAGTTTGGCCTCAGATCTCCAGAGATTATTTAGATAAAACACAATAAAAATATCAATGATCTCTCCATGTTTTACATGGAAAAAATGAGTGGGAGTGAGGAAGCATCACACGTGCAAGCACATATAAAATTTCAGAGCTAGAGATAATGTTATAGATGATTTGGGTTAGCTCCAGGCTAAAATAGAAAATAATGGTTTCGGTTGAATAGCACAGTGTCAGGGTTTTTCAACAATCTGTTTCAGCTTACTTAGACAACTTGGTGATTCTCTAGCTCTTGTAACAAAACAACTGATATCAATGAACAATGCAAAACACATTTTTTTAAAACTATCAAAATTTTATTTTCAAGATTGGAGAATAAGGAAAATATAATATTTATACCCCTTTTGTTGCAATATGAAAATCTATTTTATCTCCTAAAAGCTGAGGATGCCCGTTCAAACATTCTCTGAGCACATAACCCAGAATCAGGAGCATCAAGAAGTAATAGTTATACTCTTAGAAGAACCAATGTCCATCATGGTGATACAACTGTACCCTCAGATTGGGCTTTTCTTAAAACCATGATCATCTGATCCAATCCAGAGCATGCCATGGGTAGCAAAGTGGGAGCCGTCTACTGGGTGCAGGCCATAAGCGAGTTCACCAGCTGGAAGGAATTTAAATCCATCAAAAGCCTGGCCTAGGCCGGGCACAGTGACTCACGCCTGTAATCCTAACACTTAGGAAGGCTGAGGTGGGTGGATCACTTGAGGTCAGGAGTTCAAGACCAGCCTGGCCAACATGGTGAACCCTGTCTCTACTAAAAATACAAAAATTAGCTGGGCATGGTGGTGCATGCCTGTGGTCCCAGCTACTTGGGAGACTGAGGCAGGAGAATCGCTTGAACTCGGGTGGCAGAGGTTGCAGTGAGCCAAGGTCACGCCATAACACTCCAGCCTGGGTGACAGAGCAAGCCTCTGAAAAAAAAAAAAAAAGCAAAAAAAAAAAAACCCAAAACAACAACAACAAAAAAAACCTGACCCAAAGTCTATTTGTTATCTAGCATCGCCAAGGACAGATGAAAGGAAGAAATGTCAGTGATGAAACACTCCCCTTCCCCAGGGACCTCTCCCAGTGTCCTCTCTTGGTCCAACGCTGAGCCCAACATGTCCACCACCTATCAAACAGTTCACTTGCTCTTAACAGCAACCTGTGACATAGGTGGGCCACTGTTGTCCAGTTGGCCCTCCCAATGTGCCTGCAAACCAAGCTCCCCTACCCCCTCGAGGATCCTGGCAGCTTCCCCTTTTTCCTCTTTGTGTGAGGAGAGTCTAACCCAGCAAGGGCTGTCTACTTTCACTCATGGAGGTGGGAAGGCTTGTCTGATCAGATTCACATTGAAACCACAGAAATGGCTCAATCATCAAACCACCACCAGCCTTCCAGCTCTCTCTGGGCCAGGAGGGGACCAGGGAAGTGTCCACTTGGGCAGGCCCAGTGCACAGCTTTGTTTTTGCACAACTCTACTTCATACATATCGAGTGAATTCTTTCCCTTGGCATATTTGTCCTGATAACGACTTGATCAGGCTTAAAGGTAAACACCTCCATGCCACTTCTGTTTACACCTTTGAGAAGTAGAGCCAACCTCCTGTGAGCTCAGAAGCTTTTGGCAAAAGCGATGGCTAACGAGGTATTTAAACTGAGGGCTGTTCCTGTGGAAAAGCCTGCAAGGGCACTTCAGAAAGGGCAGGGGCACAAGGCAAATGCCAGCAGGAGGGCATTTCCAGGGCCTGAGAGCCATACCAGGGGCTGCCTGAGAAGAAGGACCTTCCACTCCCCCTGTTGGAAACCGATTGTCAGAAATCAATATCCCAAAGGTGGTGATATCCAACTGAAAATATGAACACAGTAAAAAAAACCTTAAGACACATAAAATAAAAGCAAACTGTTACACTGCACTTAGGATGTGCCAATCACAGTTCTAAGACATTTATATATCTGTGTTCATTTAATCCTCAAAACACTCCTATGAGGTAAGTACTATATCCCCATTTCCCATAACTGGGGGCACAGAGTGGGTATGTAACTTGCCCAAGGTCACACAGCTGGTTAGTGGCTGAGGTGGGACCTAAATCCAGGAAGGTGGACTCCAGAGTCCATGCTCCTAATCACAATGCCATGCTGGCTTTCTGACAGGTGGGTGATAGTGAGGATTACAGGGAGGAGAGATCTCCAGCCCAACACAGTTGGCTGACATTATGTCTCCCCGCGGACCTTTCCTGGGTGTCACTGGGTTGGCATGGGAACCAACCCAGATCATGGATCTGGTGCACCTGCTAGAGGCTTCATGTAATTCATGGTTTAACATACACACTCTCTTCACTGTTTCACTTCACATGGTCAAACATCTTAAATGAAATGGTATGGAAACAATCTTCCATCTAATTTTTTCTATGACATTTATTAAATATAATGGACACTGGCTGAACATTTACTGTGTCCCAGGCACTATTCTAAGTGTTAGGGATATAAAGATGAACTTTCTAGAGGCTGATATTTGGAGCCAGTAATACAGAAACAACAGGAAAACAGCAGAGTTTAGACAACAATATGAACTAACAGTTTCCTTCATTCCTTCTTGGAACCCCTCTAGAAATCGTAAAGGTACCATTCTTTGACTCTCTTGTGTGTGGACAAGGCTAGTGAAAGCCAATCCAGTCATTTACTCCATGGAAGGTCACTTTCAGCAAAATGATTAGAAGTAAAGAAAATAGAATGTGAAAACAGAAGTCTTAAATCTGAACCTGGAATTGCCATTTAAAAAAATAAATTATAAAATTAGCATTGTGGTTAACTTTGGGAAAAGGTAAGAGAGTAAGATTGTGAGATTGTTCTAAGAGAAACACAACAGTGTTGGTAAAATTCTAGTTCTGAGACTTGGAGGATTTGTGACTGCTCATTTTAGTACTATGCTTCCTAACTTACAAAGGTTTTATCAAATAATACATAATAAAAACTCTATCATTGTTCAATTTTTTAAAATCATGATTGCTTCAAAGTAGAGAGTACTGAAGACTTAATGTATTGAACATTCCTGAACACATGTTTAATGCAAAGTTTGCCAATGACGTGGTCTTAAATTAGAAACTTCTTATTAATCCAGGATGTGGCACTGAACCTAATTACCTAGTAGCTCTATTTTAAAGACAAACTAATTTAAATAGACAGATATATTAACTGAATGACAAAGGGTATTTAATTAAAGTCTACTAGAATAAAAACTCACACCACCAAAACATAACATAAAATTGTTAGCTATTTTACTTACCTATGTCAAAAGAAAGTTAACGTCGTTCATACAACAGTATGACAAAACTCAAATATACTAGTGGAAAAGTGGGAAAAACCTTTCTACGTTCCTGTTCCAGTACCATAAATAACTGACAAAGATCCTAGAGGCAAAAGACTGTTACAACTTTCTAAATATAAATAAATATTGTGGCTGTATGGTGCAGAGCTATGCTATGGTTCCATATACCACAGGTCTGGAACAGAGAAAAATTTCAAATAATTATTGTAACCCATCTTTGTCAGTGTCTGCTTAATAAGGACTGTTTAGCCAAATGAGTTTTTTTTATAAGGGTGAGTTTAAAAGAAAAGAAATAAATGTATCAAAAAAATAAAATAAATTTTGCCAATATAGGCCAAGAAAAACAAAACATAGATGGTTTTAGGACATTTCTACATTTATGGATTTATGGAATATATTCAAAAATCAAAAGTGTTAACAGTTTTTTGGTGAAATCTTGAGGGTTATCTATATTTAAGATAATGTCTGCACAAACAACAACTTATTTTCCTATTTGTGTTTTGTTTTGCTTTTTGTTTGAGACAGAGTCTCACTCTGTCACCCAGCCTGGAGTGCAGTGGCACGGTCTCGGCTCACTGCAACCTCTGCCTCCTGGGTTCAAGCAATTCTCCTGCCTCTGCCTCTCGAGTAGCTGCGATTACAGGTGCACACCACCACGCCCAGCTAATTTTTGTATTTTTAGTAGAGACGGGGTTTCACCATGTTGGTCAGGCTGGCCTCGAACTCCTGACCTCAGGTGACCACCCCCCTCAGCCTACCAAAGTGCTGGGATTAAGGCATGAGTCACTGCGCCCAGCCTTATTTTCCTATTTGGATGCCTGTTATTTCTCTCTCTCACCTAGTTATTTTGGCTAGGACTTCCAGTACTATGTTGAAAAGAAGTGGCTGAGAGTGGGCATCTTTGTCTTGTTCCTGATATTAGAGGAAAAGCTTTCAACCTTTCTCCACTGAGTATGATGTCAGTGTGGGTTTGTTATATATGACCTTTACTGTGTTGAGGTACATTCCTTCTACACCTAATTTGTTGAGAGTTTTTATCATGAAAGGATGTTGAGGTTTGTCAAATACCTCTTCTACATCTATTGCGATGATGATTTTTGTCCTTTATTCTGTTAATGTGGTGTATTATATTTATTGACTTGCATATGTTGAACCATCCTTGGATCCCAGGGATAAATCCCACTTGATCATGGTGAATGATCCTTTTGATGTGTTGTTAAATTCAGTTTGCTAATATTTTGTTGATAATTTTTGCATCTATGTTCATCAAGAATATTGGTCTGTAATTTTCTTTTCTTGTAGGGGCTTTGTCTGGCTTTGCTCTCAGGACATGCTGGCCTCATAAAATGAGTTTGGAAGTATTCCTTCCTCTTCAGTTGTTTGGAAGAGTTTTAGAAGGATTAGTATTGGGTTGTCTTTAAATGTTAGGTAGAATTCAGCAGTGAAGCTATCAAGTTCCGGGCTTTTCTTTGATGGCAGACTTTTTAATACTGATTCAATGTTTTTACTCATTATTGGTTTGTTCAGGTTTTCTAAGTCTTCATGATTGTCTTGATAGGTTGTATGTGTCTAGGAATTGACCCATATCTTCTAGTTTATCCAATTGCTCATGGTAGTCCCTTATGATCCTTTGTATTTTTAATCGTATCAGATGTAAGTCTCCTCTTTCATTTCTGATTTGAGTCTTTTTTCGTTTTTAGTCTATCTAAAGGTTAATTTTATCTTTTCAAAAAACCAACTCAGCTTCATTTATCTTTTCTATTGTTTACTAGTCTTTATTTCATATTGCTGTGATCTCTATTATTTCTTTCCTTCTATTAACTTTGGGCTCAGTTTGTTCTCTTTTTTTCTAGTTCCTTGAGGTTAATGTTAAGTTGTTTATTTGGGATCTTTCCTCTTTTTTGATGCAAGTATTTGTTGCTATAAACTTCCCTCTTAGGACTTGTTTTGCTGCATCCCATAAGTTTTGATATGATGTACTTCCATTTTCATTTGTCTCAAGATATTTTTAAAATTTCCCTTTTAATTTCTTTTTGACCCACTCATCAAAGAAGAAATTGGTTGTCTAAGGGCATGTTGTTTAATTTTCACATCTTTGTGAATTTTTCTGCAATTCCTCCACCAAAAATCTGTTAAAACTAATAAACAAATTCAGTAATGTTACAGCATACAAAATCAACAGTGTTATTTCTATATACTAACAATCAGTGTTGTTTCTATATACTAGCAGTGAACCACCTGAAAAATAAATCAAGAAAACTATCTCATTCACAAGAGTTACCAAAAAATACTAAAATACTTAGGAATAAATTTAACCAAAGAGGTGAAGGGTCTGTATGCTGAAAACTATAAAACACTGATGAAAGAAATTGAAGACATGAATAAATGTAAAAATATCCCATGTTCATGGATTGAAAGAATTAATATTGTTAAAATGTCCATATTGCCTAAAGTGATCTACAGATTCAACGCAATCCCTATCAAAATTACAATGATATTTTTCACAGAAAAAAAAATCCTAAGATCCATATGGAACCACAAAAGATCCCAAATAGCCAAAGTAATATTGAGCAAAAAAAGATGGAGGCATCACATTACCTGCTTTCAAAATCTACTAGAAAACAATAGTAATCAAAACAGTATGGTACTGGCATAAAAACAGACATATTGGCCAATGGAACAGAGAGCCCAGAAACAAACACACACATTTTCAATTAATTTTCAACAAGTTTCCTAAAACACGCAAAGGAAAAAGGATAATCTCTTCAATAAATTATGCTAGGAAAACTGGATATGTACATACACATGAATGAAATTAGACTCTCATCTATGCCATATACAAAAATCAACTTAGAATGGATTAAAAGTTAAATGTAAGATCTGAAGAAGAAAACAAGGGTAAAAGCTCCATGATAATGATCTGGAAAATAATTTTTTGGATGTGACCCCAAAAGCACAGGAGACAGAAGCAAAATAGACAGATGGGGTTACATCAAACTGAAAAGCTCTGCACAGCAAAAGAAACAATCAATAGAGTGAAGAGACAACCTACAGAATGGGAGAATATATTTGCAAGCCACAAACCTAATAAGGGGTTAATATTCAAAATACATAAGGAACTCAAACAATTCAATACTAAGAAAACAAATAACCCAATTAAAAAATGAGAATAGACATTTCTCAAATGAAGACATATGAATGGCCAGCAGGTATATGAAGGAATGTTGCATATCTCTAATCATCAAGGAAATGCAAATTAAAACCACAATGAGATATCACCTCACACTTGTTAGAATGACTGTTATCAATAAGACAAAAGATAAGTGTTGGCAAGGATGTGAAGAAATGGGAATCCTTGCACACTGTTGGTGAGAATGTAAATGAGTACAGCTATTATAAAAAACAGTATGAAGATTCCTCAAAAAACTAAAAATGGAACTACCATATGATCCAGCAATGCATCTTCTGGGTATATACTCAAAGGAAAGGAACTCAGTATGTCAAAGAGACATGTGCACTCCCATATTCATTGCAGTATTATCACAATAGCCAAGATATAAAACAACCTAAGTGTCTATTAACAAATGAATGAATAAAGAAAATGTGGGGCTGAGCACAGTGGACCACACCTGTAGTCGCAGGACTTTGGGAGCCTGAGGCAGGTGGATCACCTGAGGTCAGGCATTCGAGACCAGCCTGACCAACATGGTGAAACCCCTTCTCTACTAAAAATACAAAAAAATTAGCTGGGCATGGTGGTGGGTGCCTGTAGTCCCAGCCACTCGGGAGGCTGAAGCAGGAGAATTGCTTGAACCCGGGAGGTGGAGGCTGCAGTGAGTCTAGATGGCACCATTGCACTCCAGCTTGGGCGATAGAGCGAGACTCCGTCTCAAAAAAAAAAAAAAAAAAGAAAAGAAAATATGGTATAGGTTGAATTTCCCTTATCCGAAATGCTTGTGACCATTAGCACTTCAAACTTTTTTTTTTTAAGATTTGGGGATATTTGCATATAGATAATGAGGCATCTTGGAGATGGAACACAAGTCTAAACATGAAATTCATTTATGTTTCATACACACCTTACACATGTAGCCTGAAAGTAATTTTACACAATATTTTAAACAATTTTGTGCACAAAGGAAAGTTTTGACTGTGTTTTGACCATGACCTGTCACATGAGGTTACGTGTGAAATTTTCCATTTTTGGTGTCATGTTGGCACTCAAAATGTTTTGGATTTGGGAGCATTTTGGATTTGGGGTTTTTGGATTAGGAATGCTCAACCAGTAAGAATAATGTAAGTATTCCAAAATCTGAAAAAACTCCCAAATCGAAAATACTTCTAGTCCCGTGCATTTTGGATAAGAGATAGTCAATCTGTACTATTCAGCCTTAAAAAAAGTAGAAAATCCCATTATTTGCAACGACACAGGTGAATCTGGAGGACATTACGTTAAGTGAAATAAACCAGGCACAGAAAGACAAATACTGCATAATCTCACTTATATGTGGGATCTTAAAAAGTGAAACTTATCGAAGAAGAGAGGAGAATGGTGGTTACCAAGGATTGTCAGGGAGGGAGTCTGGGGAAATGTTGGTCAAAGGACACAAAATTCCAGTCAAACAGGAGGAACAGATTCAACAGCTCTATTGTACATCATGACGACTAGAGTTAATAACAATATACTGTATTCTTAAAAATCGCTTAAAGAGTAGATTGTAAGTGTTCCCACTCCCCAAAAATGATAAGTATGTGAGCTAATATATGTGTTAAATAGTCTGATTTCATCATTCCACAGTGCATACATATATCACATACCATGTTGTATACCATACATATACACAGTTTTGTTCATTAAAATGTGACTACTACTCTTAAAATGAATCACAGATTTTTGAAAGCACCAGTTATCTTGTTATCTTTGCTTTTCAAAGCATAGTGCCTGCAAAATATTAATTTTATTCAGGAAGCAACACAATATGGCACAGTCCATCACAGCACTGGTACACAGCACCTCCCATCAACACTATCAGGGATACAGTTGGCACTGGTTTTGTCTGCACCTCGCTCAATAAATGCTGGAAAATTTCCTAAGTTCCTAAGAGCAAAGCTGCCCTTTGTATCCACATGTAAGGACCACAGAAGTGCCTCTCCCATTAGGCCCTTCTTCATTTTTCTGTAGTAAGTTTGTGGAGTCACTGCTTCTAGAGCATGTGCTTTCAATCACCTTTCATACAAAAAGTAGCATCTTGTAGCAAAGGGGCAAGAATAAGGAAAGGAGAAAATCATTTATAGGTTGATTTTCAGGAGAGTCACATGGTAAGTGTGGATTCTGGCTGAACAGGAGTGCATAATTGTGTTTTCTCAGCCCGCTCCCAGAAGCAAGCCTCCACTCCACTCCACTCCACTCCACTTATTATTTACTAGGTCAAGCAGCATAGTCTGAAGTCGAAACCAGAATCTCAGCACTTGGTCCTGGAGACACGTGCACCTGCTGGATAAACATTTATCTCCCTGTGGAGGGACCATCCCAGTCCTCCACATGGAGATAAATGTCTATCCAGCGAGTGCACGGCTCTACATGCCCAGGTAGAAGGGGGTTGGTTTCAAGGCCCCAGGTCTCCTCCTGGGCTGATGGGTCACCCACCCTGGGGAAACCCGTTTTTACCCTGTAGCTGGATCCCGCAGCCACAGTCAGCCCCTAATAGCCACCACGACTGAGAGGCCCACGGAGACTGCTGAGGCTGCAGGACATCCTGACGGGAGACAGGCCTGAGCACCCCGACCCTTCCTCAGCTCACCCCAGAGGCTCCCTTGGTTGGTGGTGGAGCAAGCTGGGTGGGGAGAGGGGGTGCCAGGACTGCTCTTCCTAGGCGCAGGTGGACACCCGCCCTGCCTTTATGTGGGTGCGCACTATTGGCCACGTGCATGCTAATCAGAAAGTAATGGTGAAAACGCCCAAGTTTCACCCGGTGCCAGGCACTGTCCTGAGCAATTTAAAGCATTTCATTTGATCCTTAAGAGGAACTCCGAGGGAAGGGGCCCCGAGGGAGGGAGCATTGGAACCCCCACTTCATAGAGGAGGGAATGAAGACCAGCTCCCTGTATCTCGCCAGAAAACATCGGCCACGCTGCCTCTGAGGGGCATTTCAAAGGCTGACACGATCTAACTTTTGTTTCATTCCCTCTTGTCCGGCTTCCAAGACCGTCTTCTCTCCCTGGATGTTTTATAACCAGTCCGCTCAGCAAAGTAGGTTTGGTTTTCTTACAAAGGCAGCCATTTTCCCAGCTATTTCGGGCCCTCGAACTCTTTAATTTGAGCTAGCTCCCTCCTGTGATAACGTCTTCCTTCTCATCGAAGGCAGCATTAACCGACGCGAAACCGCTTTGCACAGATGCTGGAATTGCCCTGTGAAGACCCGCTGTGCAGTGCAAATTTCCTTTCCTCGGGGGTTCTGGATGGGGAGGGGGCAGCAGGTGTGTCTGGTGTCGGCGGGCGGGGGAGTCCAGCCCACACAGAAATCATCGGGAAAATGTGAACGCTGCAGGCCTGCCCACCGTAGTCAAAGCTGAGTCCCTCATGAGTCCTGTTAGTTCGTTCACTTGACAGACACATCTTTGAGCCCCTCCTGCCAGGCGCAAAGCGCACTCTGCGGGGAGAGCATCACAGTGCAGATTCCTGGACCCCGCGCCAGTCCCATCAAATCAAAGTCCTGGGGGTGGGGATACGAGTATCTGAGCTTTAAATTAGGTTCTGGGAGAATCTGAAGACCATGGACCTCTGTGTCAGGGGCTGGAAGAGACCTGAAAATGCCAGGAATGAAAAGCCATGTTTCTCATAACCCGGGTCCTCAGGTCCCTGGGAGAGACTGACCTGGTAACCCACCACTAACTACCGAAGACGACTGACCGGTTGCTCCACCAGCTCTCCAGGCCAGGTCTGAAGGGCCCTCTACTCCTTTCCCAGCTTCACCAGGCCTGCTCACACGTGGAAGCCACCATAACATGTGTGTGTATAGACTTTACTGGCCAAAGACCATGTTCTATTAGTTCTGCTTTCTAAAACACTTAAACTTATCTCTTGCCCAGTTTCTTCCACTGGGTTCATGAGCTGGAGACAATCTATGTAGTATTAGCCTACCATGATATTAATGTATCTATTTTTAAATTTTCTTAATAGTTTCTGAGAGTGCCAATAAATGCATTTAGGATATTTTTCTGAAGTTTTTCTATCTGTAAAATAACAGTGTTTAAAACTATATAAATAACATTGCAGAACATTCATAATTTAACAACTCTGATACAACTGCCATTTTTCATATTTTCAAATCCAGTCTTTTGTCACCTGTGTTTATTTTAACATACTTGTGGTCAATGGATACCTTTAGCTTTTTGACACTTTTTCAATCCATATACTATCATGGGCATTTTACATGTTGATACATAATCTTCCTTATTATTTTTATAGCTGCATAACATTTCATGAAGTCATTAGGTCAGTTTACTTAATCTCAGGAGCGGTGGCTCACGCCTATAATCCCAGCATTTTGGGAGGCTGGGGTGAGTGGATCACCTGAGGTCAGGAGTTCGAGATCAATTTCCTTAATTATTCTCCTGTTTTTGGACATTTAATTTTGGTTCCTTCTGGTCTTTCAAATATATAAGTAGTAGCATTTTAACACTTATTTCCTTCTCTTAGAATAGAATTCCAAACCTTGGTTTGTCTAAGGAAAATAGGATCAAAAGAAAGTGAAACACTGGACTTTTTTGGCTATGAGAGAACATAATTTTTCATCAGAGAGTACCTGATAGCTTATCATTTACTGGACACTGCTGTGCCAGGCTCATGGAATCCTCACAACAACACACTTTCAAGTAAGTGTTAGTCTCCATTTTGTAGAGGTAACGTACCCACACATCCGCAGCCAGTGAGTGGTGGGCCTGGGTCCTTCTGGCCTGAAGCCCTCCCTGTGGTAATCCACAGTAAGAGAGAGGGAAGAAGTGACAGAGGGCAGGGAGGGACACTTCAAGAGACTTGTGATGGACATGAGAGCAGTTTGCCAAATCTTTCCGGCTCTGCTCCACTTCCGGGCACCTGGTGGACTTCGCTTCTGGCCCCTGTGATTGGGTAGTGCCATACTGAGCTGTGAATGGCGGTAAGGTGAGTCACTTCCAGATCAGAGCACCTAATTGCAGGTGCAGTATCCTCCAGGACTCTCTCCCTCTGCCACGATGACCTCAACATTTGACATGATCGTTCCATCAGCCTGGGGCCCAGAGTGAGGAGCTGCAGGGCAGAATCCCAGGCTGACCTGCAACAGCCACAGAGATTGAGCAAGAAATAAACTTCTGTTGTCAGGAGTCACTAAGATTTTGGAGTTGTTTGTAACCACAGCATAATCTGGCCCATCCTGCCTGACGTCTTTCAACTTCCAAAATGATTATTGCGTAAGATTCCCCTACATATAGGCAGCTTCCTTCATAAAGTGATTTGAGGAGTACCTAGGGCACAACTGCCCCAAAAGTCTGCCTGAAATACCTACTAGGAAGGACATTCATTTGGGTGAAGGACTATGGAGGGTAACACAGTGTACAACCCTAGTCATTCACACCTTTACAGACACAGGCTCATCAACTCCATATAAGAGAGGGCAACAATTTGGTGAGCTGTGTTTGGGGATAGGATGAAGAAATGTTTAGGGCCCTGAGTTCTTGCCAGAGTGAGGACAGCCCCTTGGAGTTCAGAGTACCATGCTGGACATGTGGGCAGCTGCCTGCTGTCCCAGCTGCAGTAGGCTAGATTCTGCTGCCAGATTCACCTAGCCAACAATTTTGCCTTTGGCCATCTTGTCCCAGAGAGATGAGATTCTGTCATTCACATTAAGACCTCTTCCCTCCCAGAAATATCATCTCCTGGGAAGATGGCCCTAGGGGAATAGAGACCTGGGTTTTATAGCCTTTGTCCAGGGCTCAGATGCAAGCTCTGCCATTCACCAGTTAAATGATCTTAAATCCTGCGCCACGTCTGAGCGTCAAATTTTTCACCCATTAAATGAGAATCAAAATATCTACTTTGTAGGATGCTGGACTAATTAACAGTAAGAATGTGCTTGGCACACAGTAGGTCCTCAATAAATTACTCCTACTGCTGTTGTTATAAAGCAAGTGTCTTCCTAGGCTTATCTTCTCCATAAAACAGGAAATCAGCATTACTCCTCCAATGAAAGCAAGACGACTTCACAAAAGAGCAGGGCCTCCTTCTATCTGCTTTATCATAAACTTGGACAATCATTCTGAAAACATACTTTGTCTTTTGGGATCACAGTGTTAAGGGGAGCTTCTTGCTATCAAGAGACAGCTGTTTGCTGTAGTACTCATATAAATGCCACATGTTTGCAATCCTTGAGAAGAACCTTCTTTCTAACTGGACAGGCACTGTATCTTCAGCAGGACCCAGCAATTAAGGGGAAGGCTTGTGCTGTGTAAGCATGTCCTCTATACTGGAAGCCCTTTAACAACAGAAGGATGTAAAATATCACAAGGAATGGGCTTTTGAGAATGTGCAGTGCTGTCACCATCCCTGCTACCTCCGCGTTCAGAGCCAGATTCACTTTAGTGCACACTGGACATTGATGATTTCCTAGACGAATTAGGTCAGAGGGGCTGATGGAAGCCAAACTTTGCCTGAGGCTCCCTCCAGTGAAGCTTGCTGCCTGCCCTGTCTTCCCCTCTCCAGCCCTCCACTCAGGTTCTTTCCCTGGTGCTGCCCTTTGCTCTAACTCAGGAGTTGTTAGGTTATAGTTTTCTTCTTATAGTAGTGATTTTTCCAAACTTTTTGGAATGTTGACAACCTATCCTTGTTTTTCTGATGTGATGCTTTTTCTCTTATGCCTAAAGTGCTACATAACACACACAATTATTTAATAGGATTTAAAGTCTTCCAGGAAGTATTCATAGGAACCCCAAAGTGGAACCAACTCAAATATCCATCGACCGATATATGTATAAATATGATGCGGTCTACTCATACAACAGAATATTATACCGCCATAATGAGGGATGAATCACACCTGTAATCCCAGCACTTTGGGAGGCCGGGATGGGCGGATTACCTGAGGTCAGGATTTCCAGATCAGCCTGGCCAAAATGGTGAAACACCATCTCTACTAAAAACACAAAAATTAGCCAGACGTGTTGGCAGGCGCCTGTAATTCCAGCTACTTGCGAGTCTGAGGCAGGAGAATCGCTTGAACCCGGGAGATGGAGGTTGCAGTGAGCCAAGATCATGTCACTGTACTCCAGCCTAGGCAATAGAGTGAGGCTCCATCTCAAAATAAATAAATAAATAAATAAATAAATAAATAAATAAATAAATAAATAAAATGAGGAATGAAGAACTCATAGATACTACAACATGGATAAACCCTGAACACACTATGCTGAGTGAGAGAAGCCAGGCACAAAAGGCCACATAATACATGACTCCATTTATCTGAAACGTCCAGAATAGACAAATCTATAGAGACAGAAAATAGATTAGTGGTTGCCTAGGCCAGGCAGGGGTGGTGGGGTAGGACAGGGGGAGCAACTGTTGGTGGGTATGGGTTTCTTTTTAGGGCAATGAAAAGGTTCTAAAACTAGAGAAGAGTGATAGTTGTACAACTCTGAGTATACTAAAAGCCACTGAATTGTGTACCTTAAAAGGGCAAATCTCACGGCATGTGAGTTACATCTCAATAAAGGTGCTGTAAAAAAATCTTGCAATGCGAGAATTTTATGACCTCCTTCAAAATAAATTTAAAAACTCGGATGGTGTTTCCAAATTAGAGATGGGAACATGCCTTATGGGGTTTGCAAACTCAAACAGGAGAAGTAGGCTGGGTGGAAAGGCATAGACAAGGGTAGGAGCCTTCAGTCACCTGGAGAATGAGCCTCGCCATGTGAGGGCAGCTACTGCGCAGTTCCCACCAGACCTCTCAGGCCCAGTATTGCCAGGTTTTACTTTTTTTTTTAACATTTTTTTCAAGAAAAAAATAATAATTTTTTTTGTTTTTTGTTTTTTGAGAAAGAGTCTCACTCTGTCGCCCAGACTGTAGTGCAGTGGTGTGATCTCGGCTCACGAGCTTTCATCTCCTGGGTTCAACTGATTCTCCTGCCTCAGCCTCCCACGTAGCTGGAATTACAGGTGCCTGCCACCACACCCAGCTAATTTTTGTATTTTTAGTAGAGACGGCGTTTCACCATGCTGGCCAGGCTAGTGTCGAACTCCTGGCCTCAGGTGATCCGCCCACCTTGGTCACCCAAAGTGCTGGGATCACAGGCGTGAGCCACCATGCCTGGCCAAAAAAACAAAAGAATTTAATTTTAGTTGAAATTGTCTTATTTTGGTTTTTACAACTAATTCAATTTTTTAAATAACACATATTTGATTTCTGCATTTACTGCTGAGTCAACAAATATTCCTGAGTGCCTCCTGTGTGCCAAGCACAGTCCTAAACCCTGGGAATCCACAATGGCCAGGGACGCAGGTATGGGCTGTGATCCTGTCAATGGGAGGGTGCTACTGTGGAGCAGATGGCCCTGTACAGCACGCACCGAGCTGTCCTTGCTGCATGGCACTTGGGGCCCTGCATTGCCATGGGAACCAGCATTGCTGGCAGCTGCACTTACCCAGGGAGAGGTAAGCCAGCATCACAGCAAGCCACAGGGGCCCTCTCCAGTCCTCCCTAGAGAAGCATGAGTGCGCTCAGAGAGGCAGCTGAGGATCAGGCCAAGGTAGAAGAAATTCTCAGGCTGTGGGGCCCGCCTGCGAGATGCCTATCTTCCCATATCTCTCTCTCTCTTTTTTTTTTCTTTGAGACAGAATCTCACTCTGTCGCCCAGGCTGGAGTGCAGCGGCACCATCTCGACTCACTGCAAGCTCCGCCTCCCGGGTTCAAGTGATTTTCGTGTCTCCGCCTCCCGAGTAGCTGGGATTACAGGCACCCGCCACCATGCCCGGCTAATTTTTGTATTTTTAGTAGGGACGGGGTTTCGCCGTGTGGGCCAGGCTGATCCTGAACTCCTGGACTCAGGTGATCCACCTGCCTCAGCCTCCCAAAGTGCTGAGATTACAGGCATAAGCTATCGCGCCCAGCCCCCACCTCTCTCTACCAAGTTCAGACCTCTGGAGAGTGACCAAGGCACAGAGGCCAACCTGCCCTCAGGGGTAGAATCTCCTGGTACGTGACATTTTAACGAGAGCCTCATGGCACTACACAGAAGACTGACCTTGAAGATTTCTTTTTTTTTTTTAGCATCTCTTGCTAAATAGAACGGCATTAACTATCCAGATGCCATGGTTCAATCCAGACTCCCTAGGAAAGAAGACTCTAAGTCATCCATTTTATTTCATTTCCCGTTTTGTGTGGTTCCTGGGGAGAATGCATTGTTATGGGGGTGGCCATTGTTTTAATGGGCTTGGGCATTTTTACCACACTCAGTAGGGACTTTCTGTCCCCCAAGGGATCTGATCTCAAGGAGACAATTCTCAGAAAAGCTCTCATAAATAACAGTGAGTCAGAACCACAAAATTAAGATGTTTTTAGTTTCAGAGTAGGCACCTAAATGTACTCTACTTGGTTTATGACAAGTTAAGTATAATCTGAAACTAACACAATCTAAAATGTAATGGCACAACAGGAGAACTGAACATGTTTGTGTTTTTCTAAAAAGAAAATTAAATCTTTTTTTTTCATTGGTTCAACCCAATAAACAACCATTAAAATGTAAAAAAAAAAAAAAAAAAAAAAAGGAGAAAGAGAAAAAAACACGCTGCTTTTTAGAATGTCACAGGGTAGGTTAGATGGCTGCAAATTCTTTGCTGCTCCCAGAACTTGCATGTGACAGAAGCACAAGCCTGGGTCTTTCAAGGCTGGCTCAGCTTTGGTCTTGGTTTCTTGGAACACTGGCCCTAGAGGCTGGTTACCCAAGACCACCCTGCTGCGACGAAGCCACAGCTGGCCCGCCCTGAGCTGCTCTGGTCACAGCTACGTACGAGAGAGATTTGTGAGGGAGGCAGCCAAGGGCGGACGGCCCTGGCAGCCAGGATCAGGCAGAAGCTGCATGAAATGGCCTAACCAGACAACGCCCAGCTGAACCAAGTCAACCCACAGAACCAGGAGATAGTAGAACAAAATTTGCTTCGGGTCACTAAGTTTTGGGGTGGCTTAAAGACAATAATAGATCATTAGAATAGGCAGGAAAAGAGAAAGTGATTAATTTTCATAGATTCATTTACAAGAGGGAAAAGCAGTTAATCTGGACCAATGATAGCTTCCCATACATTCACCCTAAAATCTACTTCATAATATACAGGTGTAATTTGAAGAGCACAAGTAACCATTAAATAAGTCAATAATATTTACTGAATACCTACTATGTACACAGCTAAGAAATAGAATATCTAATCAGGAATTATCTAATTTAATAAGTCCTGGTCTGAATGAATGAGGAAACTATGAACTATAACTCTTTTTAGTCAGAGGAGAAAAGGCAAATAAATGAATTATTTCAAAGTCCTAAGATGAAAGATACTATTCAGCATATATATTTAAGAACAAGGTTATCAAAGTATGTGTATTAAAATATACATGCAAACGGAATATTTCAGGTTGTAGTCTTCTCAAGAGCAGGAAGCAATTCCATCCAACCTCTAGAAACTTCAGAACTCTAAGGTTAAAGAAGGATTTTCAACATATACATGTAGTTGTCACGATTAAATACTTAAACATGGACTGAACTTCTATTACAGCTTATGTTTTTACCTTTGCTTACTACAACTTTTAAAAGTTTCATCATTAGTGTTAATTTATTTTATTTTATTTTATTTTTTGAGACAGAATCTTGCTCTGTCACCCAGGCTGGAGTGCCGTGATGCAATCTCAGCTCACTGCAACCTCCACCTCCTGGACTCAAGTGATTCTCATGCCTCAGCCTCCTGAGTAGCTGGGACTGCAGGCATGAGCCACAATGCCTGGCTAATTTTTGTATTTTTTGTAGAGATGGGGTTTCACCACATTGGCCAGGCTGGTCTCGAACTCCTGACCTCAGGTCATCCGCCTGCCTCAGCCACCCAAAGTGCTGGGATTACAGATGTGAACCACTGTGCCGGCTGGTGTTAATTTTCAGATCTGACTAATGAAAGGTAAAGCGGGGAGACATTGGGACGAAGTGCCAGCACCATCTGCTTAGCTTGAGAATTATTTTATATCTAAGAGTATATTATCCACAATAGCCATCTTAACCTGGCAAGACCTTCTTCAGGTGGGAATACTGGATGGAGCTGCTGTCTTACATTCCTTTCTGATGATTCTTCCTGTAGGCTCAGTCACTGTCAACCCCTCTGGTGAAGAGTTGGGGGTGATAGAGAGCACAGCACTGCTATGGATATACAAATGTATAGGGGCAGGGCTACACATTTTGGGGTGCTTTTAAGACCTCTGGAGGTCTTAAAATAATAATAATAGCTCATTAGAATAGGCAGGAAAAGAGAATGTGATTATTTTGCATAAATCTTCATTTATAGCAAGAGGGGAAAAAATAATGAATCTGGACTATTCAATTGTTTCTATTGAAAAACCAATTTCAATTGTTCTATGCCATGTTCCAAACACCGAAGAGACAACAGAAACAACAGGCTGTGACATTTCTATTTTCTTATGTTCTCAGGTCTTCATTTTCCAAACTAAGCATTTCCCATGGAAGGATCTCATTTCCAGCTGCCTCACGTGCATGTCTGAATAGCCAACAACTCGTGTAATAAACTTTCTATATAACATGCACCTACCTACTTGAACTCAGCCGACATAAGAATCTTTCTGGAAAAGAGACTGACTCCTAGCTACAATTATCTTTATGCACTTTTAGGAAATTTTATTGGTAATGAAACAGCAGTATTTTATTCTTGGTAATTCTGTGAGGGTCACAGTTAAACAATTAAACAGCATTAACCACCACTGTACTGTTCGACACAACATCCAGCCCCCTTAATGGGTAACTTCAGCTGAGTCTGCAGAGACAGCCATGAAAAAAGGCAGTGAAGGGCAGGAAGAGGCCCCCGCCAGGCCCTCCAGGGCTGGGGGGCACTGGGCTGGGCACTTCAAACAGAGAACCCTGGATTCTTTTCCCACTTTGTGAGGAGCCGATTTAAGGAGCAGACAGCTAAGGGAAGATTTATAAACACAATAATTTTTGTTTCTAAGAGTTATAATGCAAAGCAGGGATAGGCATTCTCCTCCAAAGAGGTTCTCAAAGAGATCCTCTGAAGCCAGAGAATACCACATTTCTTTGCCTAACCCAAAAGTCCTCGGAATCTTCATTTGTCAGCAGAAGCTCTGAAAACAAGGCACTGCACTACTTTTTTTGCCTAATGTGGTGGAAGACAGCCCCATGACAACAAAGAGAAAGAAAAATCGCTTTTCTTATAAGTCAGAACATAATGCAGGCTTATGGCTCGAGGTAACTTTGCTGTTGAAATCCTTGAAGGATCCACAAGGCACTCATCGCTCCAGTTAGTGTTCATCTTGTGGAAACCTACAGTGAATCTCACTAGAAAATATACTGGAAAAGAATAGAAAGGGTGAACAGGCATGTCCGTCAACTCTGAAACCCCAGAGCTAAGGAGACCACTTTGAACTGAAGGAGGCAGATTCAGGGTAAGTAAGAAAAAGAGCTAACTTTACACGATGGTGGAAAATTCATGACAACACAGAGGACACTGAAGAGGCTGAAACTATAAATAAGCTCAGAAACTATGTGAACTCACAGATCTATAGTGAGTTGTATTAAGGGAAATGAGGTTGTCTGATGCCCCCTGCAGAGCCCCCTCTGGTGCCACCGTCGCATGATAGACCAGGATCTGACCCAACAGGGGTTTAAAAAATTTTTTTACAAAGCATGAAGATGATCCTAAATTTGTGGCAGACCTTTAGTGTATGAGGATCTCAAGACCCAGAACCGCTGTGCCTCTAGTGGGGGCACGGTGCTCCGAGGCCAGTTTCCATGACTAATAAATCCTTCATTCTGCAAGCCGTGACTGTGGCAGTGCACCCAGCGGCTGGATGGGAAGTGCAGGAACTGGCGTCCCCCACAGGGTGGAGAGGGTATCACCACATTGCCACCTGCCCACCCTCTGCTGCCCAGCTCTGTTCTCCAACAGGCATCCTCTGCTTTTTATTTCCTATCTAGAAGGAGAATATGTCTGTCTATCAGGGTGGGGCGGAGGCTGCTAACTTCAAGACCCTAACCCAAGGTGTAGCTGCTGTTACAGAGATAACTAGGAACTCAGGGGCAGGACTAGGGAGGCTGCATTTCACTAATCCAAATGCCTTTGCCTCTGGGAATGACATGAGTGATGGGGCTGGGCCGTAACGGACTGTACACGTACAATGCGTTCAGGAAAGCAAAGTTCCAAAACCCACAGCAATCTGCCCTGCTTCCTTTGTCTTGCTCCAGCTGTATCCTGATGTCCTTTTAAAGCTATTTTTAGTAACAATATTTATTCAACCAAGAGGAACAAAAATTTACATCAAATGCATTCACAGAGGGGCACGAGACTTTGCCCACAGATGGCCTTTCAAAGGCATCTTTCCCCATGCCGACCCCTTCTCACCTTGTATCAGTGGTGGTTAGAAGCGTGAACTCCTGCCACAGTTTAGTCAAACTCAATGAGATACTGTTTACGGTGGTGGCCACCTGGGAATTTCCCAGGCCCCTGGAGGACGTGTGTTTTTCAGGTTCTAAAAACAAAAGTCCACAGCAATGACATCAGAGGCCCCGCTATGAATTGCATGTGCATTTTAACCAGGCCTTACTTTGCTGCTTGCTATGCCAATTGCTGTGGCTGCCAGTCAGGAAAAGGAAGCCTTCTCGAGCACATGCATGCTTTATGCATTGTCCTATACAGGAAAAAATAGATAAAGGGATGATCTGGGTGTCTCCTGTTGCCAACCCGTGCTAGCAGGGAGAAACACAACTGGGCCTAGGACCGTGTAAGAAGGCCCACATCGGCCTGCACCCCTGCATCTTCAGGGAAACCCTCCTCGCCTGCTGTCTCTAACCCATCCCCAGCCATAAGCAAACGGGGGATGTTTCCACACGGGGCCCAGTGTTAGTCACATTATTTCTGCCTCCATATAACTTAAGGGTACAACTAAGAACTGCAACTCTTGATTAAAATGACACACATTCCAGACTTCTGAGAAGCTTTCCTACAGAAGAATTCCTGCATGGCATATGGGAAATTGGATTTGAGGTCATCTAAATGATTCCTTTCCTACATGGAGAGTCTATTGTTTTATTACTCAGGCAGCGAGCTTCTTCAGAACTCCTTGTCATAGGAATTCAAGAATACCTATGTGGGTATCAACAGCACTCTTTGGAGAAGCAGACACAGAAAGATATGCACAACATAGGAATGACTCTTTTTTTTTTTTTTTTTTTTTTTTTTTTTTCCAGAGAGAGAGTGAGTCTGGCTCTGTTGCCCAGGCTGGAGTGCAGTGGTGTGATCATAGCTCACTGCAGTCTCAACTTCATGGGCTCAAGCAATCCTCCCACCTCAGCCTCCCAAGTAGCTGGGAGTACAGGTGCACACCGCCATGCTTGGCTAATTTTTTACATTTTGTTTTGTTTTGTTTTTTGTTTTTGTTTTTGTTTTAAGATGGAGTCTCACTCTGTTGCCCAGGCTGGAGTGCAGTGGCGCAATCTCGGCTCACTGCAACTTCTGCCTCCCGGGTTCAGGCGATTCTCCTGCCTCAGCCCCCCAAGTAGCTAGACCTGGCTATTTTTTTTTTTTTTTTTTTGTATTTTTAGTAGAGACAGGGTTTCACTATGTTGGCCAGGTTGGTCTCGAACTCCTGACCTCAAGTGATCCTCCTACCTCAGCCTCCCAAAGTGCTGGGATTACAGGCATGAGACACCACGCCCGGCCTAATTTTTCAATTTTTAGCAGGGACAGAGCTTTTGCTATGTTGCCCAGGCTGGTCTCAAACTCCTGGCCTCAAGTGATCCTCCTGTCTTGGCATCCTACAGTGCTGGGATTACAGGTGTGAGCCACCATGCCTGGCCAGATGACTTTTTAAAGGACATCACAGTTTGATGTTGACTGATCAACCCAGAGGAATGAAGTGGACACCTTGCTCATTAGCTGTCCCCCCATCTACCCCTGCACCCCACTTGGGGCGCACAGGCCACCCCACCACCTGCCAGGCTCACTGAGCTTACCCATTCTAGAGGCTCCCACCCTGAGGCTCTCTCTAGCTACCTCTGCTCCAAGCTCCCTGGAAACCCCAACTCTTCCCTTATCAGTTTACAGGCAGCATTCACCAGCGAGGGCCGCCCACACGTGTGCAAAGCTTGTTCACACTCCACTGTCACACAATACAAGGTGTCTTGTTCTTCTGTGACTCATACTGTCCCTCCAACAAAGTCTCCAAACTTCCAGCCACCACCACAGAAACAAGACGTTTGCCTCCCTCCTCACCCTATGGAAAACATTAACAGCTGGTGAAGAAGGGGATCTCTTATTTTGTTTCTAAGTCTTGCTGCCATCATCAAATGGTCACTTGGAGCTCTGTCATCTAGGCAGAACAGCAGGAGCTACACCTTCTACATTATGATGAACGTCAACAATTTGTTTTCCAGAATGTTCTTTCATCAACACTGCTGGAGAAATACCTTTATTCTGCATTTATCTACGATGTAATACAGATCAACACTACTCTGGTAAACAGTTAAGAACGGTGGTTCCTGGCCATTGCATGGATATATGTATAGAAACTATCTTGAGACCAGCCTGACCAACATGGAGAAACCCTGTCTCTACTAAAAATAAAAATACAAAATTACCCAGGCATGGTGGTGCATGCCTGTAATCTACTTGGGAGGCTGAGGCAGGAGAATAGCTTGAACCTGGGAGATGGAGTTTGCAGTGAGCCGAGATAATGCCACTGCACTCCAGCATGGGCAACAAGAGCGAAACTCCGTCTCAAAAAAAAAAAAAAAAAAAAAATCCACCCACATTTGCTAGTACCTGTATTTTACATCTTTTGGTTATTGAGGAAATACATAGTTATATCGTAAATTGAGTGATGCTTTTAATTGAGTTTATGTTTGATTAGTCACAACAGGATCTATATGCACTTGGAGAAGGCACTAGCACTCACATCTACACAAGATGCGCCACTCATTGTTTGCAGACCATGCCAGGTCCTTGATCCCTTGCAGGAGCCCCACAGCCCCCACCTGCCCCAGGCCAAGCCCCCGACACTGAGAACTCCTGTGGTCTATCCTCTTTTGCGATTTCTTTAAAACCAACATTTTAACTAGATAATCCCAAAAGAATTTTTTGAATTGACATTTTCAAGAGGGAAAAAAGCAAAATTATTTATTATTAATTTTTTCCTTTCATGCTACTCTTATATTCCTGTGATTATATCAAGCAATGTAACAGATACCAACAGAATAGATTTTCTACCATTTCATGTTGTCCGCCCATCCACAAACATTAAATAAAAACAGATACTAACGAACTGCAACACTCTCTGCTCTTGGGGACTATTAGGGTCTAATTAAAGCCCACAAGATCAATGCTACACCGAATGAAAAAAATCACCATGGGAACTATGAAGAGGAAAAAGATGTTTGTTAGCAATCACATAAAATTACCCCGAATAATCCTCCCTTCTTCTACCTACCCTGCTTCCGCAAAAACACTCCTCTAGGCATAAACATAAATAAATGTCAATAACCAGATTCTACACATACCGAGTGCAGAAAGAGGAGGCATATCCGCCTGAGAGTATGGGATGGAAAGTGGGGGGCAGGTAGTCTGCTATTTATTTATCTTTCCTGCAAAGCCAGTCTAAGCAGATATGCTCACGAGCCTTTTATGAGTTGGTTATCTTGGCATTGGTTTTTAATTTGTCCAAATTTGCTCCTCCTTGGCCCTGGGGCAGACACAACCCAGCCCCCCAGCTGTAAAACCTCAGCATGGCAGTTGAGGCTCAGTGGTCAGGGGACCGTCTCTCAATGCTGCATTTGGTTGAGGGCGCAAGTGGTAGAGGCCAGGCAGTGGCCAGTGGATGAGACCCACTCAGAAACAGTAAAACCAGGAACACAGAATCTATACAGGATCTACATGTCAGACCCCAAAGAGACCCCCGATGCCAAGGGCAATTTGGTCCCAGGCATAATTTTGGACATGAATATCACTGACTAATAGTTCACAGTAAAATCACATTTCCATCATTTCAGGATTATGAAAAAAGCAGTGGTATAATACTTAAATGATTGATAAATATTCCAGTGAATATTGTAACATCTTTACTTCATTTTTGTGTACTCCTACTTGCTGACAAAGGCAGAAAGTAAGAACAGTACAGGCTTTATTGTCCGTTTTAAAACATGATAGGATAGTTCTCCAGAATTCTTAGAGCAAATTTCCAGTTTCATACTCCAGTTCCAGGGAATGGCATTCCCAAATGATCACAAAACAGATTTTACAATACCAGCTAGCATTCCCACTCCTGGGCTCCATTTCTATTTGCTGTGGCCAAACAAATGAAGTTCCCAGAGCCCACGCTGGAAGCCCTGATAAACACCTCAACCACAGAATCTCAGTCTGTGGCCCACTCTGGCGCCAAAAAAGTGCCCATCCCAACTCGGTCTTTTTTTTTTTTTTTTTTTAGATGGAGTTTCACTCTTGTCACCCAGGCTGGAGTGCAATGGTGCAATCTCGGCTCACTGCAATCTCCACCTCCCGAGTTCAAGCGATTCTCCTGCCTCAGCCTCCCAAGTAGCTGGAACTATAGGCGCATGCACCACACCTGGCTAATATTTATTTATTTATTTATTTATTTATTATTGTATTTTTAGTAGAGACAGAGTTTCACCATGTTGGCCAGGCTGCTCTCGAACTCCTGACATCAGGTGATCCACCCGCCTTGGCCTTCCGAAGGGGCTGGGATTACAGGCATGAGCCACCACGCCCGGCCCACAACTCAGTCTTTGTACCAGCACATGTAATGCGATTACTAATGAAAACGTTACTTCTCAGTAATTTCAAAAAGAGGTGGACAGAAACAGAACGGTTCACTGAATTCTCCAAATAATTGTAAAATTCTTCTTCAATCTCCTCCTCCCTTGGTAAATTTCCAAACTTCTTTTTAAAAAAATGTAAAAACCTGACTGAAAGATCAGGCTGATAAGGCTCACTTCCTCTCTCTGCCCACACCTGCTCTCTGAAGCAGCTCGTACTGCCAGGGAGAAACATGGTGGTGCTTTGTCTTACTCAATTCTTGACAGTTTTAAGGGTGTTCTCGAATAAATAATGTCACGTCAGGTCCCTAACAGCGCTGAGTGCCGTTTTAGGTAGCTACTGTCCTTCCCACTTTGCAAAAACCCTGGCTCCATGGGGGAGGCAACATCCCACACTTATGACTAGGGAGAGCCTGGACTCTAGGCCAGGCCTTGATTCTCTACCCATTGCTTTGGCAGCCCCAGGATGAACGAGGAGAGGGCCAAGTGGATCACGAGCTGCCTGAGCAGCACCTGTTTTCAGGCCAATCAACCGAAAATGCTAAAATCGAAGGGCTAACAGGACACATCACTGGAACTGTCTTTGCTTTTGCTCAAACCCAAGCCCAGTACCTCTGTCAGAATCTAGGGCCACGCGCCGTGGCAGCCTCCTCGGGGAGGCAGAGGTCAGGAAGAGCTTCCCTCCCGCAGCAGGCCTCCTCCGGGAGTAGAAGGAAAGGATGTGTTTTCATAACGGAGGGCGCAATCTGCAAACATAAATGAACTCCGATGAAACCTAAATCCTCGCCGAAAAAGCAAAACTCCCATTTCCTCTGTTCTTTCTCTGAGGCCTAAGGATAATTCTCTTCTTTCCCCCACAAGTCAGATTAAAGGGGTGTGACCCGGTCCACTGCGACTATCAAAGGATGCCATTGACACGGAGATAGCTGCAGGCAGAGCGCCGCTCAGACACACAATGGGCCAACGTGTTACTTTCTCTCTCTAATTTCCTTTCTAAAACTAACTGCTTTATCTGAGAGAAAATGCTGTGTTCTACAGTCGTTTTCCTTCTAACAAGAGCCGCTTGTATCCCCAGTTGACTGTAAGAAAGATCACATTCTGTTCCTCATGAAGAAAATTACAATGTCCCCGAAATGGCCCGGTTCCTGCCGGAGGAGCGAGGGGTGTGCCAGGTGGGAAGCTGCAAGGCTCTAACCAGCCCCTCAACAGGACCCCCAGCTCACTGTAACTCCAGGATCTAGAAAACAACACAAACGCAAGCACAAAGGCCGGCGGCATCAGGGCCTCCAGACTTAAGAAAGACCTGGAGAAAACTCACTGTCTGCCAAAAGTCTGGACAGATTTCCCATGTGGTTCACCTGCTTCATTCAGGGTAGGAAGGACAATGAGGAAAGGCACTCAACAGGAACCCCCATGCCAGCGTCACCCTTCCAGGCCAGAACGCTTTCCTCCCCTGCTTTTGTCTTTTCTCAGTTCCTGAGTGCTTTGCCTCTAAGGCATGGTGACTGATCACTCTGCCCTTGTGAAGGCATCTCTAGAGCACTTCTGCTGCCTCACATCTTCAGGAAGACCGAGTCTTTCTGCAGCAGGTGCTCATCACAAACCCTGGGTCCTCCTGCCCATGCAGACTGGGAAATGCTTCAAGAACTTCGGGAGGCAATGATACTGCAGTGACTGCCCTGCTCAGTTCACTCCTAAAAGCTTTTTGCTGCCTTTCAAAGTGGCCTGGCTGCGCCTCCCAGGAAACATCAGGCCACAGATGTGCAGCTAGAATGGATGGGCCCGTCAGTTTGCGATAAATGAGAGTGTTAAAATGGTGACACTGAAACTGAGGCCTGTTTTCAGCCCAGAGTAACCAACAGCATTGTTCACAGGACTGTCAGAGGCACTCACAAAAGGATGCTTTCTGGTCCAACTGAAATCAATATTGTGCTTCTGCTGGGGCTTAGGAATATTTAACACCATGTCAGCATCAAATACAGCATTAACAAAAGAAAATAACTGCTTGGCCTGTGGCTTCTATTAAATAACTCCATTAACATGGCAGAAACTATCAAAATTTTCAGATGCTTTTTATGTGCTAAAAGAAAAATTAGAGCATTTATATCTATTTGCTCTTTAAATTGTGTCAGTTCATGTTTAAAGATGCATTAAGGCCAGGTCCCATGGCTCACGCTTGTAATCCCAGCACTTGGGGAGGCTGAGGCGGTGGGAGAATCACTTGAGCCAAGGAGTTCAAGGCTGCAGTGAGCTAGGATCACACCACCACTGAACTCTAGCCTGGGAAACAGGGTGAGACTCGTGGCAAAAAAAAAAAAAAAAAAGAAGAAGCTGCATTAAAAGCATTTTAAAATCAGTAATGTTATGTTGCATTTTTCTTCTTTTTCTTAGGGATACACACATTTCATAGCAAGGAGTCTTCTGAAATTAAAGAGTGTGGTATGTTAACATAAAGTAGAGAGATAACAGGGAATTACTCCTTGATGTTAGAAGACAAGTGCCTTTAAAAGTAGTAAATATTGAGAACATACCAAGGAAAATATGTAGGCAGTGCTTAAAGAATGGCTGATGCATGTCTTTTGATCTTATTTCTTTGTCCCTTCATGTTTTGGATGATGGAAGTGCTGATACAATGGCTGGAGCTGGAGCAGCTGTTCTGGACTATGAGATAACCAAAGGGATGTAGGCCAGCTACAGCTAACAATGAAAAGGAGTCTGTGGCCTTGAGGACTTTGTGGGGCAGCACTGCCATGCCAGTCCTAGCCTGAAAGAAAGAAACATCCATATTGTCTATGAAAATAATATTTTTCCTATTGGTCACAGCCAAATCTCAACCTAAGTTACACACCCCACACCTAAAGGCTTCAAGATAAACATTAAGAAGGTTTTGAACAACAGCTGCCAATTAATCAGGAGGCTTATTTTCAGAGGCAGAATAAAAAAGAAGGTATCGGCCACCAGAAGTAAAGCAGACACATATTACATGTGGAGTCATCCATGGTCAAACACACACACACACACACACACACACACAAAACACAAAAAACAATGGCCTTAGAATGAATAAAATCTAATAGAAGTTCAGGTGGACCAGGTAGTCACCCATCTGGTCTTCAAAGGAAAGATGCTGCACCTCCAGCACCTAGCGCTGTGTCTGGGACAAAGTAGATGCTCAAGAAATACCTACTGAATGAATGACACTGAAGTCAAGGATGTTCAATAAACATTCACTGTATGAATGAAGGTGAAGTCAAGGATAGCTAGTGAATCTAAGCCAGGGGTCTGATTAGTAGAGGGTCTTTTATAATACAGAAGAAAATAATAAAATATGAAACTCAAGTTTGAGTGAAAATGGGCCATAGAATTAAAGCCCTTTGATGGTTCAAGTGAAAGGCAGCTGCAGAGTGGTCTGAGAGAACAGAAAAAGTTAACAGTTCATGGGAATTTAAAGCCTTATTGTGCAGTATCTGAGATGGGTGAATTTAGGATTGTCAGCGTTTTTTGGGTATTGATACCCTGTCATTCGAATTTGATAAAGCTTCAAAGTAAAGATCAATACAGAGATAGAATGTCTTCGGTATCTAAAGAACATAGATGAGAAGTAGAGATCCCTTTGGAATACCTGTCTGAAGAAACTGCCCCTAAGAACCTGGAGACACCCAAGTCAGTAACACCCACGGTTATCCTAAGTAAACCCAGCTCACAACAGGACATTTGTAGGACAGGCAATCTCTGTCATGTGAAAAAAGGAATACAACAGATAGAGGGGAAGGGTGGGGAAAAGAAGAGTATTGTGCTTATTACTCTTCTCTGGAGGATCAACTGCATTTTCTTTATTAAAAAGGATTACTTCCCTTTGGGAGGCCAAGGCGGGTGGATCATTTGAGATTAGGAGTTTGAGACCAGCCTGACCAACACGGTGAAACCCTGTCTCTACTAAAAATACAAAAAAATTAGCCGGGTGTGGTGGTGCATGCCTGTAGTCCCAGCTACTCGGGAGATGGAAGCACGAGAATCGCTTGAACCCGGGAGGCGGAGCTTGCAGTGAGCCGAGATCGCACCACTGCACTCCAGCCTGGGTGACAGAGTGAGACTCCGTCTCAAAAAAAAAAAAAAAAAAAAAAAAAAAAAATCCCCATGTATTAGTGATCTTTATGAGATTTGCCAAACACCTTTCCTTTCAATTTGGGTTATAAAATCTAAGTTCCAATTTCCTTGGCAGTATAGAAAATTAAGATATCATAAGCTCTACCAAAAGGAAAGGCTGAAATTACAGAGTTGCACAGAACACAACTGTTTTTAAACATAAGGCTATGAATCTTCCAAAAAAATAGAATTTTGTTAGGCAATAACCACACCAGAACATATGCAACACAAACATACTCCAAAACAAAGATCCCTGTCTCACAGACATCACTGCTTGGAGATGTAAGAGTTTCAGCAAAGGTGGGATATTTCAGGTTGTAGCTGGGTAAGCCAGTCTTTCCCAAAGGATGATTCATGCAGCAGGTGATTTAAGTGGTACATGGACAAACTGAAGTCTTTTCAAGTGAGTCTAGTTATAAAAAAAAAAAAATACTAGGTACTTTAGGAAATTAGGAGTGTAGGTGGAAAGTAGTTAGGAAATACCGGTTAAACTTAGGTCAGAGACTATAAATCTGTCTGGTCCAAGGTCAAGTTTGACTGGAAGGAGGGGCTAGTGGGGCACCATCACTTCGGCCTCAGAACTCACTGACCAGGTTATCAATACTGTGCTAAATGGGTCCAACCCCTACAGGGCCAACCCATCTTTCCGGATTATTCATAAGAGCTCACTGGAGACTGTCAGCATCCCCTTTGGGCCCCACAGCCCCAGGGACCTCCCCACTCCTAGGGACCCCAAGCAGGCACTTTTTGTTCCCTTGGCCTGCTTTCTTGCTTCCCCTCAAAAATATATGCCACCTTCCATTATTAATATTCAAGATGCTGAGCGCAGTGGCTCACGCCTATAATCCCAGCACTTTGGGAGGCTGAGGTGGGTGGATCACTTGAACCCAGAAGTTCAAGACCAGCCTGGCCAACATGGAGAAACCCACCTCTACTAAAAATACAAAAATTAGCCAGGTGTGGTGGTGGGCACCTGTAATCCCAGCTACTCGGGAGGCTGAGGCACAAGAATCGCTTGAACCCAGGAGGCGGAGATTGCAGTGAGCTGATATTGCGCCACTGCCCTCCAGCCTGGGTGACAGAGCAAGACTCTGTCTCAAAAATAATAAAAATAATAATTTTTACTGATTCAGCAATTGATTATTTCATTAATTCATATACTCATTTATTAGTGGATGGTTACTGAATAAATAAATGTTAAATCAACGTTTATCAAATAAAGGTCCTACTACGTGCCAAGCACTGTGTTAGGACCTGGGGATACACTGCCCTTTTGGAATGCATAGTCTTAGGATGACGCTGCTTTTAATGTTAAGGATCAGGTATAGATTTCACCTTTCTCTATCCCAGACAACAATACATGACACAAAAAATGGACAAGGTTATTATTCTTCCATTTGCCACTTCTCCAAATACCTCAAAATTGTTATTATTTCTGATATTGATTTGTGCTAAATTTATCAAAGGAAGATGCACCAAGGATTAGCATCTGTAAGCTCTGAAGAAGGTCAAGATCACAGCAAAGGTTAATTGGTTTCTTTGGAAATCATAAGCGTGGCAAATGCATCCCAGCCCATCCGTCTCAACATCTTACCTTGACAAGCGGTCAGATCTCATCCATAAAGAACACAATCAGCCTCCACAGACACACACACACACACACACACACACACACACAAGACCAGACTTTTGACATCAAAATTTATCCCACCATTGATGATAATTATTAAAAACACTAAAATGTTTTTATACAAAGACATCTATGATGCAGTGAGAAGTTAAAATCAAGGTAAAATATTATTAAAAGGCCAACTACGGATTTGTGCCTTGAGGAAATATGGCTGAAGAATTTCATAGATAATATTTATGGGAAGCCCAGGCTGCTTTCAGTTTATTTCTCTTTGTACACTTGCCTTAGCCAGTGACTATTTACAATCCAAGGATGGGGGCTGAAATCCAATTCTCAAGATGCATCAATAGGCTTGCAGTAAATATGTGACTTTTTCACAAACTGGTTAGGTTTTTATTTATTTTTTAAAGTAATGGTTGATCCATTTACGGGCTGGTTAGTTCCAGACCTTTTCGTTTGCAAAGAAAACATTCCAAACAAAAATGAAGACAGAGAATATTGAGTGTTCAGGATTTTTTTTTTTTTTTTTTAAGACGGAGTCTCATGCTCTAACCCCCAGGCTGGAGTGCAGTGGCGCGATCTCGGCTCACTACAACCTCTACCCCCGGGGTTCACGCCATTCTCCTGCCTCAGCCTCCCGAATGTTCAGGAATTTCTAAAGTTCATGAAACAATTTAGCCAATTGTTTCTTTATTAATGCTTAGCTCAGCATATTTCATGGATTCAGAACTATTCCTCTTTAAACACATTTGTTTGTTAATGTTTATAACTATTTACCCAAGGTGTTACCGTGTGTCTCAAAAGCACCACAAGATAAGGCTCATAATCTGTTATGGAAGAAATCTGCATACTAGTCTGGCTTGAGAAATACCATAAATGTGCCCCTTTCCTTCAACTCCCCTCATCCATCCCAAGCAGAAGTCCTCTGATTAGACAGGTGGCAGATACAAAGTCTGTGCCTAAATAATCACCATATTTATTAATCTCTTATGATATAGCGGACACTGCTAAGTGCGTTATGTGTAAAACCTCCTTTAGTCCTCAGAACAACCCTATGAGGTACACATTATTATTATCCCCAGTTTAAAGGGGAGAATACGACAGACCAGGGAAATTAAACTTGCTCAAGTTCACATGGTTAGAAAGGGGGAAAGCTGCAATTCAAACCATAAATCTGTCTGACGTCAAGCCCATCAACGTACTGGGGAAAAAATTCAAAGCAGCAGTTTGCCTGAGGTTACTAACTCTGCATGAATTTTCCATCAATAACAAGTCAGAAGGAATTCCGGCAGCCTTTGATTCCACTTGGAGAGTAAAGCCTAGTTCACGTGCCCCAGAGACTAAAACAATAAACATAAAAACAATGAAAAGTAAGCTCAAGTAAGTGAGAGAAGGTAGATACGACAGACTGCATATTGTATGATTCCATTTATATGAAATTCTGGAAAAGGCAAAACTATAGTGACAGCAGATGGGTGGCTACCAGGAGCTGGGGAAGGGGAAAGGATTGACTTCAAATGGGAACAGGAGATGATGTCAGGGGGACAGAAGTCTTATTATAACTGTGATGACGTTTTCCCCATTGAACATATTTGCCAAACCCATCCAACTGTTCACTTATAGTGGATGAATTTTATTTTATGTAAATTATGCCTCAATAAATCTGATTTTTTAAAAGTGGGCTTAAAAGCAAGTGGAATAATATTAATATAATATACCGCGTATAGTATTCTCTTTCCCTCCTCTTTTTACCTGACCTTCAGGTCAACCTATGTTTGGTGGGAAACTCATGGATGCATTTGATAAACAAAAATCTTTTCATGGACTGAGGTTTCCTACTGGCCATCTCATTTCTTTACCAACTTAACTCCACCCCCTAGGAAATTTATCTTCCACCGAAGTTCTATCCATCAACTGAAATGTTTGTGATTATTTATGACAAAAGTATGGTCCTGGGTGCCTGAGGTGGGCAAGCCACATGTGAAGAGGCCTGCACTCAAAGTCAGAATACCTTCACTCTCGGCCTGGCCTTTCTGCTTCACAGCAGTGTGACCTTGGGCAAGCCACTAGGCCTCTCTGAGCCTAAATTTTCCCTTTTATAAAATGGGGATGATAGTGTCTCCCTTTAAGAGTTTATGACAACCAAATGGACTAATAAAAATGAAAGCACTGGCCAGGCGCAGTGGCTCACGCCTATAATCCCAGCACTTTGGAAGGCCGAGGCGGGCAGATCACTTGAGGTCAGGAGTTTGAGACTAGCCTGGCCAAAATGGTGAAACTCGTCTCTACTGAAAATACAAAAATTAGCTGGGCATGGTGGTGCACGCCTGTGATCCCAGCTACTCAGGAGGCTGAGGCAGGAGAATCACTTGAACCTGGGAGGCTTCTGATTTGTTCTCTCATTGTGCCAAGCACACAACTAGGTTCTGAATAAAGATCACATGTATTGTTCACTATGTCTACTACATATGCAGCACACTTAATAATTGATTTCTGGGAAATTATCAATGGAAGATGATAACAGAGGGGAAGAGTAGGGTTAGTATATGGAAGTAAAAGATAATACATTTTAGACTGAAAAAATATTAATTGTTGAGATGAACTGAATATTGATCAAAATGATTTTATATAATTATCTGTGAAGCTGCTGAATTCAACCTAGACATTTATAGATATCCGCCACATTTATCCACCACCCCCGCAACAGACACACACTCTAGACAGGAAAAATATTCATTTGGGAGAGGGATAAGGTGAATGGTAGAACAAAGTTTTTCTCTGAAATTACCCCCAAAAACATCCTTTCAGTTACTTGAAGTCAGACCTTAAGCACTACAGTTACAAAAAAATAAAATAAAAACATGTTTTAGGCAAGGCGTGGTGGCTCACACTTGTAATCCCAACCTTTGGGAGGCTGGGGTGGGAGGATCACTTGAGGCCAGGAGTTCAAAAGTAACCCAGGTAACATAGTGAAACTCTGTCTCTACATAAATAAATAAATAAATAAAGTAGCCAGGTGTGGTGGTGCGGGCCTGTAGTCCTAGCTACTCAGAAGGCTAAGGCAGGCAGATCGCTTGAGCCTAGGAGTTTGAGGCTGCAGTGAGCTATGATCACACCACTGCACTCCAGCCTGGGCAACAGAGTGAGACCCCACCTCTCAAAAAAATAACAACAGTTTTTAAACACCGCTGACAAGAGCTTATAGTTTCATTGAGGTGAAAAGCCCCCAACATTTGTGGCATTTAGGACAAAAGTATAACAGAGGCCCACTCATCACCCACCTAAATATGTAAAGGTTACAAATTAAGGTAAAAACTTAAACCAAATGGCTTCTATCCTCCTTCCTTCACAAACACACTTCGTGACAACCTGGGAGGACAACTTCCGATTCAGGATACCTGGACCCCCGGGTCTTCCTCACCCTGCCTGCAGCCCTGCCTTCCTTGGCTTCTTTTCCACCCCTGCCTCTGTTCCCTGTCACTTGGAGGGGACAGCCCAGCCTGCCTGTCCAAGCACTAATCGCCCCATCCTCCTTCCATACAGTCCCCGACCCTCCCTCAGTCCCGGGGGTGCCTACCCCAAGCAGCGCAGGTAGCGCTGGGGAGACTAAACCCAAGGAAGAGCCTGTGCAGCCTCCGTAAGGGGCTCAGGGTCTTCTGGGCAAGGAGTTTCCGCCCCCGGGTGCCCAGAGCATGGCCCATAGAAAGTAGGAGGTGCCCCCACTTGACCCTTGGACGCCTCACCCCACAGGGAGACACAGCAACTGAAGGGCCTGGGCAAGGCCCTCCAAGCCCAGAACAGGGGCCTCCCTGGCCCACACTGGAGACTCAATGCACAAATAAAACCTTCGGCAGATAAAACAATATTATATTCAGACAATGTCTATTTACAAATGTGCATATCTTTTTTTCTTTCTTTCTTTCTTTTTTGATATGGAATCTCATCACATCATCCGGGCTGAAGTACAGTGGTGCATCTCAGCTCACTGCAACCTCCACGTCCCGGGTTCAAGCGATTCTCCTGCCTCAACCTCCCAACTAGCTGGGAGTACGGGCATGTGCCACCACACCTGGCTAATTTTTGTATTTTTAGTAGAGACTGGGTTTCACCATGTTGGCCAGGCTAGTCTCGAACTCCTGACCTCAGGTGATCCGCCTGCCTCGGCCTCCCAAAGTGCTGGGAGTATAGGCATGAGCCACCAGGCCCAGCCTATAAATGTGCATATCCATGTGTGTATATACTGTACATACATGCATACATCAGCATATAACTGATCTAGCAAGTCACTCATTGTGTAATACAGCCAATATGTCAAGGAATTTGTAAAGGAAGACATAAACCAGGCACAGTGGCTCATGCCTCTAATCCGAACACTCTGGGAGGCTGAGGCGGGTGGATCACCTGAGGTCAGGAGTTCGAGGCCAGCCTGGCCAACATGGTGAAACACTGTCTCTACTAAAAACACAAAAATTAGCCAGGCATGGTGGTACGCACCTGTAATCCCAGCTATTCGGGAGGCCGAGGCAGGAGAATCGCTTGAACCTGGGAGGCAGAGGTTGCAGTGAGCCGAAATTCAACCACTGCACTCCAGCCTGTGCAACAGAGAAAGACTCCATCTCAAAACACAAACAAAACAAAACAAAAAAACCAAAAAAAAAGGAAGAGATATATACCAACTGGAGGGTCAGGGAAAACATCTGTGATGAGGAAATTGAGCTAGGTTTTTGGGAATGGATTGCATGTGGCTATGTGGAGAAGGCTCGAGAGGGGCAAATGGCAACTACAAAGAGCTGAGTGTGCCTCGATGGAGCAATGGGCGATGGATTTGTGTCTGGAGATAATCTCCAGATGATAGAATAGCTACAGGTAAGGGCCAAAAGATGCCAATTGTCCCTTAACATAATAAATATCACCAAAGATAGGTATGGTTGCAAGAAGTATAATGGAAGCATGGTCACCTTGAATTATTTTTAGAATAAGGTTATAAACAAAAAAGTATGATCAAATTAAAATAAAGGGTAATTATCAAAACCTGCAATGGCCCTCATGCACCCCACACTACCAACTGACTCACCCTTCTGGGTCAGCACCATGTAGCGAGTCCAATCTGTTGAAAAGGTTCTGGCCCCAGCGATGACTTTGCCCTGGATAATTTGCTGGGAGAAGGATATTAAGTTGATGCCTCGGTTTCATAACTACTAAACACTAGGCATTTGATAGCATTTAGGCTTATATCCTAACCTCTCTCTCTCTCTTTCTCTCTCTCTCTCTCTGGCTTTTTCCAAACCAGAACCATCTTGCCTCAGTTATTTTTTTTCTGCGTCTAAATATAGTAGTTTAAAAAACCATTAAAGGCATAAGAAAAGCGGAAAGGAGATGTTTCACTTTCAGACCAGACTCTGTTTTAACAGATTTCCCAGATAATTTCTGCAGGACATTAGGCTTAAAAGAACTCTCCGCTCACCAACCCAAGGGGGCAGAGGGGGCTTGCCACACACCGTGAGGGACCATTGGTCCAAAGAGAGGCCTCTCTAACCCAAGCCTGAAAAGTATCCTCTGTTGCTTTAAAAATAGAAACTGTTTTGGACAGACAACTAACTGCATGACATGGAGATGTAACAGGAATGAGACGGAGGCAAGACAAATGAACCAGGTTTTCATCTATTTCTGGCGCATCTTGGCTTTGTTTATTTTTAATAAACCGTGATGGCTCTTGTCTAATCAAAACTGCTATAAGAAGCTGGCAGAAGACAGAGGTGAAATTAACTCTTTGAATCTTTCCATCTCTTTTGGAAACATTCATTTATCTCCAATAATTCAGAGCTATTATTTTCAACAGGTTTTTATATATATAAAATGATGATGATGATGATGATGATGATAGATAGATAGATATGAAGAGTGTGTGTGTGTGTGTGTGTGTGTGTGTGTGTGTGTGTGTAATATCTGGCAGTGCTAAGACCCATGCCAGAGTCACCAGGTGTTTCCCTTGTGGTCCCTTCCCCAGCCTGGACTCTGTCTACATGGTCAGAATTGCTGCCCTCAACTCTGGCCTCCTCACACTGGGATCCCTGTTATGTTTTGAGCCCAGCTTCTGGCCACATGCCCACTTCTGGGCTTTGCCTTGATCAGTACATTGATGCTCCTGCCTGACCTTTCAATGACTAGTGACCCCTCCCGTACCCACTTTGGTCTCATCCTTGAGCAGCTGACTAGACCATGGAAGGCCCCTCCACTCGGCCCTCAGTGGGGAATGTGAATGCTGTTTCTACCAAAGATGCCCACAGAATGTCTTCTGCAACTGAGGTGGGAAAAGTGTTACTGACTTTCCTGGATGTAGGGGCAAAGTATATCCCTTTTTTTTTTTTTTTGACGGAGTCTCTCTCGGTCGCCCAGGCTGGGGTGCAATGGTGCAATCTTGGCTCACTGCAACTTCCACCTCCTGGGTTCAAGTGATTCTCCTCCCTCAGTCTCCTGAGTAGATGAGATTACAGGTGTGCACCACCATGCCCGGCTAAATTTTCTATTTTTAGTAGAGATAGGGTTTCACCATGTTCGTCAGGCTGGTCTCAAACTCCTGACCTCAGGTGATCCACCCGCCTCACCTTCCCAAATTGCTTGGATTACAGGCGTGAGCCACCATGCCCAGCCTAGTATATCCTCTTACTGAGTGTTCTCTTGGAGCCTCTCCCCAGTCTCAGAGCTCCCTGCCTCAATGTGTATTCCGTGGTGTCCGCTACCAAACAGCCCATCCAATCACAAAAGGCAGAGACTGCAATGTGTACCCTGGGATTCTGTCATTAAGTATGATATGCTCACTAACTGTAGGCTTCATTGCGGGTGTAGAGACCATCTAATAATATTGCAGAAGGCTGTATAATAATTTGGAGTCAGTTTAATTTATATTAAGATTGTTAGCTCTATCACGATTACTGTTTGACTTTGGGCAAGTTCCTTAACCTCCTGCTCATGAGATCATTGTGAGGAATAAACAAAATATTACATAAAGACTTAGTGCAATGCTGAGCACACATAGAACATTTATTAAATGCTAGCTGACTCTGAAAAATAATAAGATAACAATACCATATTCATTTACTAGTGCTTACGGTACACTAGGCTCTGTTCTGAAGTGTGTTATCTGGGTTATGGCATTTAATCTGAAGCAGAACCCTAGAAGGCAGACATCTCCACTCTACAGAGGAGGAAAACTGAGTTCCAGAGAAGGTAAGGCACTACCCAAAGTCATGCAGCTAGTAAGAGGCAGAACTGGGATTCAAACATGAGTCGATCAATTGGGCCAGAGTGTATCAGATCAATAAGAGCCATGAATATCCATGTGCAGCTAGTTCATCTTAGCTTTGGGTGGGAAAATACCCTTGGCCATTCATTTTAAAGCTGGACATGTGCTAAACCTCACCACATAGATTGGTTTCACCACCAGTGATGGCAGCCACTGTGAGTCATTCAAAGAACAGGTCTAGTGGTTTCCTGGCTTATGTTTTTGGTTTTATTAAAATTCCACCATCTGGTTTCTTCATAGCTCACGGTGCTTTCCCTTAAAAGAATGCTGAGGTTGAGGTCAAGGGATAGCCGCAGAGCAAAAGGGATGGGGTTCAGGATAGGATCACCCCGGGTGCTGCCACAATGCTCCCCTTCACACAGGCAGTGGGACCCTGTATTAGTCCATTCTCATACTGCTATAAAGAAATATCCGAGACTGGGTAATCTATAAAGGAAAGAGGTTTAATTGACTCACAGTTCAGCATGGCTGGGGAGGCCTCAGGAAACTTACAATCATGGTGGAAGGGGAAGCAGCACCTTCTTCATAAGGCAGCAGGAGAGAGAAGTGCAGAGCAAACAAGGAAGAGCCCCTTATAAAACCATAAGATCTCCTGAGAACTCACTCACTATCATGAGAACAACATGGGGGAAACTGCCCCCATGATCCAATCACCTCCCACGAGGTCCCTCCCCCAACATATGGGGTTTACAATTCAGATTACAATTCAATCTGAGGTTTGGGTGGGGACACAGAGTCTAACCATATCAGACCCTAACCCAAGAGGCCTGGGGACAGGCAGTTACTTGATTGGCTTCAAACTAGTAACAGAGGAAATGACTACCTCAGTCTGCCCAGTGATGTTCCAGATCAAGCTCTGGAAAAGCCTTCCTTGAAAAAGGTCTTAGAATTGTTGCTATTTAAAAAATAAAATCCACCAGGGGTGCTGCAAGTGGCAGAGGCTGCCTCTAAGAGCGTACCTGCTGAGTAAGAGCCAGAAGGAGAAGAGCAAATTGTTCTTCAGGAGGCGTCTGCTGGGCGGGCTTCAGACTTGGGCCACCTTTGGCAGGGGCAAAACAGCACGTAACCTCGTGCCCTCCAGGGTACGCTTTCTACATCAGGAGAAAATCGCCCAGGCAAAACACTGATGGACTGCAAACAACTTTTTCTTCTCTTTAGTTAATGGAAGTGATATTTATCTTGCCACCAACAAACCGGCACACTGGGAGAGCGGGGCTTAGAGTTTCGAAAGCCAGGAGGAAAATGGTTCTTGCATTCCATGACTCATCTTTCTCTTACCAAAGCAATTCTGTAGTAACAGCCATAGTTCCTACTTCATGAATGTAGCGTATGGAAGTTGTTTTGTTTTGGTTTGGGTTTTTTTGACAGAGTCTCGCTCTATCGTCCAGGCTGAAGTGCAATGGCGTGATCTCAGCTCACTGCAGACTTGACCTCCGGGGCTCAAATGATTCTCCCACCTCAGCCTCTTGAGTAGCTGGGACTACAGGTGTGCACCACCATATCCAGATAATTTTTGTATTTTTTTGGTTTCACCATGTTGCCTAGGCTTGTCTCAAACTCCTGGGTTCCAGGGATCCTCCCCACTCAGCCTCTAAAAATGCTTGGGATTACAGGCATGAGCCACCATGCTCAGATGAAGTTTTCAAAAAACTTTATGAATGTAATCTATTTCTTCAACAGAGCACTGTTTCTATTATTCTGAGGGCTGGATAACAAGCATCACTATATCCATTCTATAGTTAATAAATCTGAGGCATCAAGAGGATAAAAGATTGGTATCATGAGTTAACTGTAATGCTAATGCTAAAATATTGTTTCCACGAAACAGAAATCTTTTCTGTATGGAAATCTCACACACACATACACACATGGACTAAGGAATATTGATTTTTTCTTTTCTTTTTTTGATTCGGAGTCTCACTCTGTTGCCCAGGCTAGAGTGCTGTGGCACAATCTTGGCTCACTGCAACCTCTTCCTCTAGGGTTCAAGTGAGTCTCCCACCTCAGCCTCCCGAGTAGCTGGGATTACAGGTGCACACCACCATGCCCAGCTAATTTTTGAATTTTTTTAGAGACAGGGTTTCACTATGTTGGCCAAGCTGGTCTCAAACTCCTGATCTCAGGTGATCCACCCACCTTGGCCTCCCAAAGTGCTGGGATTACAGGTGTGAGCCACCGTGCCTGGCCAGATTTTTTCTTTTCTTTCATCCGTTTCTTTTTTGTTCAAGAAGCTGTGTCTAGATTTGCACATGTGCTTGTCAGAAAGAAATTAACATAGGAAATTTCCTTTCCTCACTCCCACACAACACATCTGCCAATCTAACACTTCCAAAAGCAGTGAGCAATGAGGAGGCTACAGCAACAGAGAACAAATAACCAGATTCACAGAATTTGGAAATAAGAACAAGTGTTTGGTGTCTTCCTGGGAACAACTTCTAGCTGAAGAGCTCTCGTCTCAAATGATCGGAAACCTGCTGGGACAGAATGGAGGATTTGCAAAGCCTACAAAAATCTGAGCCATGAGCGATCCTTCCAGACAAAACACTATCTCTTATTTTCTATCTCTGCCCTGACTTCCACCTCCTAAAAGGTGTGGTTCCCTCTTTTCAACTCTCACTAGTGGCTCACTTACGGACACAAAACTATCACAGCCACAAAAAAGAGACAGAAAAGGAAATCTTGGAAACTTAGATTTCCTCTGGGTTTACACTGAAAAGACCCCCATAAGTCACATTCCTTTTCGTTTGTTTTTTTCCCTTTTTATGAAGATAAAATTCATATATGGTAAAATTACCCATTTAAAGTATGCAATTCAGTGGCATTTGCTATAACCACAATGTTGTCTTAGCTCAACTCTCCCTAATTCCAAAACAGTTTCACCATCTCAAAAGAAAACTTGTACACATGAAGCAGTCACTTCCCATAAAATATGTGATAGCTTCTGTCTTCTTTCACTTAGCACCTGTTTTTAAGGTTAATCCATGTTGTACCATGTATCAGTACTTCATTCCTTTTTTATAGCTGAGTAATATTTCATTTTATGAACATCCCACAATTTGCTTATCCATTAACTCATTGATGAACATGTGAGCTGTTTCCACATTTTTGCTATTGTAAAGAACGCTGCTGTGAACATGTGCATGTTTGTATTTTTTCAGTATTTGTATTCAATTGTTTTGGGTATATTCCTAGAAATGGAATTGCTAGGTCATATATTAATTCTAAGCTTAATTTTTTGAGGAACCTCCAAAGTGTTTTCTACAGTGGCTGCAATATTTTACATTCCCACCAGCAATGTACAAGGTTTCTAGTTTCTCTATGTCCTCATAAACACTTGTATGTTCCTTTTATTTTTCAGTTATCACAATCCCGGTGGGTGTGAAGAGGTATCTCAGGGTGGTTTTCACTTGCATTTCCCTAGTGACTAATTTCTCTATTTTGTCATGTGTCTTTTGGCTTGCTGGTTCTTCTTGCAGAAATGTCTATTTGAGCCTTTTGTCCATTTTTAAATTGGGCTGTGTGTATTTCTGCTATTGAGTTGTAAGTGTTCTTTATTATTATTATTATTATTATTATTATTAAAGTTCCAGGGTACCTGTGCAGGATGTGCAGGTTTGCTACATAGGTAAACGTGTGCCATGATGATTTGCTGCACAGATCAACCTATCACCTAGGTATTAAGCCCAGCATGCATTAGCCATTTTTCCTGATGCTCTCCCTCCTCCCACACCCCACCAAGAGGCCCCAGGGTGTGTTGTTCCCCTCCCTGTATCTATGTGTTCACATTGTTCAGCTCCCATATGTAAGTGAGAACATGCGGTGTTCGGTTTCCTGTTCACGCATTAGTTTGCTGAGGATAATGGCTTCCAGCTTCATCCATGGCCCTGCAAAGGACATGATCTTGTCTGCTTTTACAGCAGCATAGTATTCCATGGTATATATGCACCACATTGCCTTTATCTAGTCTATCATTGATGGGCATTTGGGTTGATTCCATGTCTTTGCTATCGTGAATAGTGCTGCAATGAATATATGTATGCATGAACCTTTGTAATAGGATGATTTATATTCCTTTGGGTATATACCCAGTAATGAGATTGCTGGGTCAAATGGTATTTCTGGCTCTAGGTCTTTGAGGAATCACCACACTGTCTTCCACAATGTTGGAACTAATTTATGTTCCCACAGACAGTGTAAAAATGTTCCTATTTCCCCACAGCCTTGCCAGCATCTGTTGTTTCTTGACTTTTTAATAATGGTCATTCTGACTGGTGTGAGATGGTATCTCATTGTGGCTTTGATTTGCATTTCTCTAATGATCAGTGATGTTGAGCTTTTTTTAATATGTTTGTTGGCCACATAAATGTCTTCCTTTGAGAAGTGTCTGTTCATGTCCTTTGCCCACCTTCTAATAGGGTTGTTTTTTCTTGTAAATTTGTTTACGTTCCTTGTAGATTCAGGATATTAGATCTTTGTCAGTTGGGTAGACTGCAAAAACTTTCTCCCATTCTAGCACTCTGCAACTGTAGTTGCCATTTTCTTAAAGGCCCTAAGATGTTTTGAAAATGAAGAACGGAAATATTTAGCAGGAAATAAGAGATATAAATGGATATGTTAGACAGGGAACATGACAGAGTTTCTCTGGATGGGGAACTGTACCAAACCCAAGTGACAGGGTACTTTTTTAAAAGTTGCTCAATGACCCTCACATGAACTGCCAGAAAAACTCTTTGTTGGCAATATGATTCTCTAAGCAGTGGAGTGGCTAACTCAGCACGAATGCTCAATTCTAGATGAATTCAGTTCTTGGCACTCTCTACCGCCCAGACAATACTCTGAATTTATCACTTATAAAATATATTTGTCCACAGCTTTCTCTGCAATCCTCCACAGCCAAACACATCCATAAATTCCACAGCTCTAGCTCCAACTGCTATTGGAAATAGTACTCTAACATCCTGACACCAACACGAATATTTTGGCTGCTTTTAATATGACATCCAGACTTTCGGATTTCAAAAACAATGCCTGAGATAAGCAGGAAATATCTTGTGGTACAGTGGAAGGAAAAACTTTTTATTCCCTGAGAAAGTCTTACAAAGACACAAGCGTCTTGTACGAACAATGTTAAAATGTAAAGTTTAATATGGTTGTTACTATGGTGATCCTCACATTTGCAAATTCACAGGGGGGTTTCAGCATTGTGCTGTACTTTGAGATAACTGTGAAGGTAATTTGTGAACTTCAGCTGATGAAAACTAGAGATGTCTGCACGTGGCATTTGTCTTCAAGAGTCTTGCTGATTTTCTGTACTTCCAAATGCAACTCAAAGTCCAGATTTTAACCTTACAATCTTTAAAATTATCTTAATATGGCTACCTTAGAGATTTCCTTCCTCTCCCTGCAAAATAAAATTAATCACTCCATTTGAAAAACAATCCTATTTCTAGAATCTACAAGAACTTTCCATAAAGCATTCTTACCTTAAATGCTTGCATTCTTCTTGCCAGGAAAGCCCAAATTTGTGACACCTTAGCAACCTGTTCAAGAAGTATATTTTTTTCTGGGTAAATTACACTCTTTTCTACTTTCTCATTTTTTTTGAAGATTTAGAAATTATTCACAATAGGATTAATTAAAACTACATGATATAATAAATGCTACTGAACTGTACAGTTAAAATGATTAAAATTGTAAATTTTATGTTATGTATATTTTACCTCAATAAAAAAAACATGATAGTTCAGTACACCTAACTTTTAATTAGCTTTATACCTATTTAGAAAACCAAGTAAATTATAAAATAAAAAGAAAGTAAACCTGGATTTTTTTTTTTAACTCTACCATCCCATGTAAATACTAAGGTCATAAATTTAACCAACTTGTACTTGTCCTTCTTCTGTAAAAATCTGACCTATATAATCACCTAATTTAATATGGGGAAGAATGAATCACAGCACACATAGAGCTATATTTTTTGGTTTTAAATATATGAATTTATTATCCCGTAGCAATCAACTAACACTGTTGCAGAGAAGAGTTAGTAGCCTTTAGTCATACCTATTTGAATCTATTTTACCCTGACAGGAAAGGTCGTTTTACGAGTAAGAAATGCAGAGACTGAGCCTGTGAGAGAAGGATTCTTTAATTGGGGTCTTCCAGGGACCTGTGAGCCCAGTGAATTGATCCAAGTATTGTATACAGGCATATGCAGGAATTCTTCTGGGAAGAGCACTCACTGCTTCCTTCTAAAAGGATTAAGAACTCCAGTATCACTACAGAGACAAACCTGTTCAAGGCTGGAGACAGAACAGGGCGACAGCCTGCCCGGGACACTCGGGAGCACAGCTCAGCACCGCCATTCATCTTCACGACACTACTATAAAGAGAATCTAGGTGTCCTCTGGAGGGAAAGTGGCCTCCTTATGGAAGGAAGCATCCGTTAACCTTATTTGGCATTCCTGCATGGCCCCTGCAGGTGCCCTCTGAAAATGAAGGCACAGTACAGCACAAAGCTTCATGGGACCTGAGAACCAGGAGGCCCAGCAAAGGCCCCCAGTGCTCTCACGGATGCAGAGCCCATGCTCCAGCCCATGTGTGGCCGGCCAATCCTGGGAAAGGCCTGTGCTGCACTGTGTAGACCTGCAGTCCCAGGGTAGGGCTATGGAAGCAGGCCCAGCTGTTGTCACCATGTCACATGCACAGTCACAGCCCTCTCCCCTTTTCAGTGGCTGCTAAGTCTCAGGATGCCCCTTGCCCCGTGGATGAAGGCCTCCTCCACAACCCCAATCCCCACCACCTTCCACTCCAGGCACCTCAGACCACCCCTGTACTCCCTGCAGACAGCTCTGCGTAGATGATCTCCCTGATGACTGCCCTGCCTCGACCTCCCTCCAGCATCTGGGCCTCCTTCCACATCTGGAAATTCCACAGGCACTATGCAGCCAACATGACCCAAACTGAACTCATCATCTTCCTGAAGCAAACGTGCCTGGCTTCCCTCTTCCCATGAATAGCACCACTATGCCTCTAGGGGCTCAGATTCAAGCCTTCGTCCCTCTCCGTTAGTTCACTGCCAAGTCCCGCAGACCTCTCTGAGGGCTCTGACGCCTGTGCCCATCATCACATTATTCCTGCAACCCCCCTTTACCCGCCCCCCCTCCCCCAGCAGTTCAAGTCCTCATGACTTCTCACCTGGGCGACTCTCATGCTTATTAACTCACTACTGCATCTCCTTCAGGGTCATTGCCTCTGCTCCAATCCATCCTACTGCTGCCAGATTCACTGACCTAAAAGCCCAGACCCAATCGTATCGCTTCCCTACAGGAAAGTCATGCTCTCCCATTGTCTGGTGAATTCAGGATAACAACAATAGCCAACTGTTACCAAGCACATGCTTCACTGCGTGTGGACTCAGTGGCAAGCATTTGACAGATCTTATGTTATTTAATCTTCCAAACAACCTCGTATCTCCATTTGCACCTTCATTATCTCCATTTGCATCTTCATTATCTCCATTTTACAAATAAGGAAAAAAAGGAGGATCGGAAACATTAAGTTATCCAAGGTTCTGAAACTGACACCTGGCAGGACTCTGGGAACTGGCCTCTCTATGGACTCTCTAGCCTGGCCTCCAAAATCCCCCACAGTGTGACCTCCACCTACTTGCCTTCCCTCATCAGCTACTCAGTGCCCTCTCCTTGCCCAAGTCACCAGTCAAAATAAACTACAACCTGCCCTAATTCTTCACACCCATGCTGCTCTCTCTGCCTGAAATATCCTCCATGCCCCTACCCACCCCAGCCCTCTATCCAAACAGCATACAGCAAGCACTTGCCTGCTATGTGCCAGGCTTTCTGCCACGCTGCCAGGCCCTTGGGATACAGTGAAGAAAGAGATGAGGAGGCCAGGCATGATGGCTCATACCTGTAATCCCAGCACTTTGGGAGGCCAAGGTGGGAGGATCGCTTGAGCCCAAGAGTTCGAGACCAGCCTGGCCAACATGGCAAAACAGTGTCTCTACAAAAAATACAAAAATTAGGCGGGCATGGGGGCACACACTTGTAGACTCAGCTACTTGGGAAACTGAGGCAGGAGGATCACTTGAGCCCAGGAGGCAGAGGTTGCAGTGAGCCATGATTGCACCACTGCACTCCAGCCTGGGCAAAAGAGCCAGACCCTATCTTAAAAAAAAAAGATAGAGAGAGAGAGAAATGAGGGAGGAAAGGAGGGTGCCCACCTTACTGAGCTTATAGGCTAATGCCACAAACTGCCATTAATTAAGAGGCACACATCTGCATACATATGTCCTAGCCTTTCCTCAAGGTTCATCCCAATGTCATCGATATCACAAAGACTTTCTGCAGTCCCTCCTTCCCTCCCTTCTCCTACCCTCCCTCCATGTGTGCAAGCACTTCTGCGGGGCACCCTTGCTCTTGCCCTCTTCTCGGATTTCTATACTTACCTCATCTGCCTGGATTAGACGGCAACCTGCCCCAGGGCAGCAAACAGAGTGTTAAATCCTAGTCCTGCTTCTTCCCAGTGACTTCACAGAGCCCCAGTTTCCCCATCTGTAAAGCTCTTAAGATTGGTATGAGTATTAAGTGGGATAAACATATGCAAAGAACCCCCGAGGAACTGCTATGGCGATTCCTTCCGGAGTGAAAACAATTTTCTATGAGCATAGCCATGGAGATCTGTGTTCAGCGATGGTCTGAATAATCTGCATTATGTCTTTGTGTAAAGGTCAAAACAAATAAGTCTCCCTGGGAGAAACCCAGAAAGTGTGTTCTCTAAAAGCTTTGCTGGCAGTCCAGGAAGGGAAGCCCTGAGCAGATCCCCTCTCTCAAGGCCACAGCCAACCCAGACGGGACTATTACAAAACATGTCACGCCAGGATTCTCTCCGTCATGGAGCGGGTCCAGTTTCATTAAGCAAATAGCTCCACAGACAGTCTAACTGACAGGAGGGCACTGGCGCAGCCTTGTTAAAAGTCCGGCTCCTCCCCGTCGTGCCAAGCTCTCTGGGTGCTCATCTTCAGGTGGCCCAACCACACTGACAAACATTTGATAAACGAATAAAACTGGGGCAAAAGATCCATTTTGAAAGTACTCACAGGATATTAAAAGAAAGCCCTATTGCAGCTCTTACTGTGGCCTAAATGATTCATGGAATTGTGTTTTTATGACCCAAATAAAATGTTTAAGGGCACAGAGGAACTAGTGGGAAGTGATCACCAAGCTGAAATGGCCTCATCAGATAAAGTCCTCAGGGGGACTTAGGGAATGGGACAAAGGAGAACGCAGGGCCACTCCAGTCCAGTTCGGGCTCAGAGGAAACATCCACCTGTCTGGTGTGAACAGGCCCAGCTCCTAAGGGTGTTCTCGGCCGGCTGGCAGGACCCTAACAGGGGAAATCAGGCAAGCCTTAAATTTGCACTGGCCCAGGCTTAGTCTATTCAGAACATCAGAATAGTTCAGTGACCCTGAACTCAACATATAAAAGAATTATATATATATATATATAAAATTATAAGCTAGCTTCTCTCTAAAAAAAGTCATCAGCAATTAATATGTTAGGTCTAATACTAATACCGTTTTTCTTCTCTATTTTCTTTTTGTTGTTGGCGGTTATGTAATCTTGGAACTGGATTTTTAAAAATCTTTTAGCATATATCTCAGGAGGGTCAAAAACCATGTACTGAGCCATTGCCTCTGGCATCACATGGGCTGATAGCTATTTATGATGTGTACACTTAGCTAAGTCACATACTGGTACAATTACCAGGAAAAAAGTATGTGTGTGGAGGGTGGCTCTCTTGTTCCTGGTCACTGCTATTTCCTTTACCCAGAAGTCCAGTGCTCCCTCTGGAAAGATGGGAGCCAGCCAACTGGAAGACATCAAAACAGTCACCATTTTCACAGCACATGCCATGTCACTGTTTGATAAAGTCTCCATTTGAAAAGGACACTCGTCAAGGCCGATAAAGGCCACCAGCTGTGCTTTGGATCATGAGTGGGGGTGTCTGTGTGCATGTGTGAGCACACACACTCGGTCCTGATGCTATTACCAAAACCTGCCCTTCAGAGTACCACAGTCACACAATCTGAGAATTTTTAGAGCTAAAGAGACCCTGGGGTCACCCAGTCAACTCCTCCCGTTGTAACCAGGACAAAACAGTCCCGTGGAGGGTAAGTGGTTTGCCCAGGACTCTGCAGGTAGACAGCTGCTCCTGAACATCACGGCCCAGGCTGAACTCTCAGAGCCCTAAGCCTCTGGTTTTATCTTGGTCACTACTTTTGTAATCTTTTTCTTTCTTTATTTAGTGAATACCTATGAGTTTCCACCTTTAGGCAAACGGAAAGCATTATTCAAGGGGGCTACAATTTTTTTTATTTAAACTACCCTTCTTTCGATATCAGAAAAGATACATAATGATATTTGGTATTTAGCTTGCAATCATGTGTCCACATCATCAGAATCAAAGCAATTAATTATAAGAGCCAACTTAATTCAATTATAAATTCTTATTACCTAAGTAAGTCTCAAGAAATAGAGTGATCGTGCCAGCACTGTGCTCGGTTTCATGCCCAAATGCAAACCTGCCATCTGCTAGGGCACATGACAAGGTTCTCAAAGAAAAGTGACCACACAGGCCATGTAACACGTTCATTAGACACAGGCACACCGCTCTTGGGCGGTGAGATGCTGTAGCCCCATGGCGACGGCAGCAGAGCCGCCCCACGCCGGGGATTTCAGCGCAGAAGGAAACTTGTTTCTTTGCTTCCCACTTGATCAGCAGGGACAGTGCTCCTTTTGGAACAACCATCTGGATCCAAAAACATAAAAATGGGCCCCAAAATTGCACATGCTTAAATGTCAACAGTACCTGGCAACTTCCAGAAGCATGAAAAGCTGTTTTCCTGCCCCATTTTTTGGTGTTACCTTAGTGTCACTATAGGTTGAAACAGGTGGCTCGTGTCAGTGGTTTACGGGGCATGAAAGCCATTTTGCCATTCATAAAATCCTGGGGAAACAGCTCTGATTAGATTTCTAGTACAAAACAGGTCTGCCTCTAAGCAGCCTCAACACCATTCATTCTCTCACGCAGGAAGTCAAATTTTAAATTAAATTACAATGGAAATGATCCAAGAAACCACCTCCTATTGGAAGGCTACCAGGCAACGAAAATAAATTGCTCCGGAAGACAGTGATGGCAGGCAAGCCTCAGTTGACTTATGACCTCTTCCACAGCTTCACACCATTGGCACAACTACTTACCTCTCCAAAGCAGCCCCGGGCAACCACACCTGCTAGTAAGCTCCCTGAAGTAAGGGCTCTGCCCCACTCTCCCCCACAGCCTCCGACTGCACTGCTATTTTATTAACAAAGGAATGAATAATCTGATTATTCATTCAACCCAGTTGTTGAGCACCCACTCTGTCAAGCCCTGGAGATAGAAAGATGAGCAAGATAAGGTTCTTTCCTCTTTTTGCTGGAAATGTTTTCCATTTATTTAAAAACTCAAATATGCACAGCTATGAAGCCTCCAACGGCACCTCACACAAATTTCACCACAAACATAAAGAAACTGGAGGTGAACTCTGCACTCTTCACCTTGGGAGCCCTTTTCCTTCAGTAGATTGTTACTGGCTGAGCATTTCTAAAGGTCCAAGAGTAAAAAATGAAAGCAACATTTCCCTTAAGAGCCAAAGGGATCTGGCATGATGGGTCACGTCTGTAATCCCAGCACTTTGGGAGGCTGAGGCAGGTGGATCGTTTGAGCCCAGAAGTTCAAGACCAGCCTGGGCAACGTGGCAAAACCCTATCTCTACAAAAAATACAAAAATTAGCTAGGTATGGTGGTGCACACTTGTGGTCCCAGCTATTTGCAGGCTGAGGTGGGAGGATCGCCTGAGCACAGAGGGTTGAGGCTGCAGTGAGCCACGATCATGACACCGCACTCTAGCCTGAGTGACACAGTGAGACTCCGTCTCAAAAAAAAAAAAAAATTATATTAAAATTTAAAAAATAAAAAGCCAAAGCAAAAATGCCAGGTAACTTCTTTGGTTTATTGTGGCTTGTTTGGTTCAGATCAAATTTCCTAAGGAGGTGAGTAGTCCTGGATAGCCTCAGCAGTGAAGAGATTTCAATATGACCCACACTAGCAATGACCTAGACCCTTGCCCCATAACCACCATCAAATACACTAAGGTCCTCCATCCTCAGTCTCCAAAACAGAATTCTTGTCCACAGAGCAGCTCCTTCACTCTTTCCCAACACAGTGCGTTCCCTTGCATTGGATATGGGACATGGGCACTATGGTCCCTGCCATGGAGGTGGGTGACCCAAGTACACAGTTAGCCCAACAAAGAAAGATTCTTTTCCAGGGCTAGGAGCCTGGCACTGAACTCCCCACTCTGTATGGTTCCTACAGGGAAGAACTTTAGGGCTTGAATCTGGCCCTGACAATTAGACCAGCTGAGTGATCTATTTGGATGAATTACAAGCCTCCCTGAGCCTTGATCATCTCTAAATAGGGACGGTGATGGCACCCACATCAACTGAGTGTTCTGAAGATTAAATTCAAACAATTGCACAGAGCCTGATGTAAGTGCTGGCTTACAACCACCCACACTCACGTTCCTTTCACCTTGTGTCCCGTATACACTCTGGCAGATGGGAGTCTGTGAGCCAGATGAAGACAGCTGCTATTTACAGACAAGTCCATCAAGCAGATCAGCAACACAACAGCTCTGAGGAAGTCCCAGAATGTATCATAACCTGGCTTTACAAGTAACCCAGTCAAAACAGGTGTCAGGCCCATCTTTCTCCAGAGATGACTATCTTATCTAACTCTGTAGAAATGGATTTATCACATGCACACATGTCCAGCCCTACTGTATGCCACACAAATACAAATGCCTTGGCAGGGCCACCAGTGATTGAAGATCTTCAAAACATATGCAGTAGGCAGAATAGTGGTCCCACAGAGATGTCCATACGCTAATCGCCAGAACCTGTGAATACGTTAAGTGACATGGCAAAGGGGAATTCACGTTGCAGACGGAAGCAAGACTGCTCATCAGCTGACATTATAATAGGGAGATTACCCTCCATTATCCTGGTGAGCTCAATATAATCACATGGGTCCTTAAAAGTTGGAAGAGAGGACCAGAGAGATGGCAGTGTGAGAAGGACCCGCCCTGACATTGTTGGCTTTCAAAACAGAGGAAGGCAGCCACAAGCCAGGGAAAGGCGGGGGCAGCCTCTGGAGGCTGAAAAAGGCAAGAAAACAGGTTCTCTCTGGGGCCTCCAGGAAGAATGCAGCCCTTCTGGTATCTTTGCTTTAGTCAAAAGAGATTCATTTTGGACTTCCTACCTCCAAAACTGTAATACAATAAATGTATGCTTTTTTTTTTTTTTTTTTTTTACACAGTCTTGCTTTGTCACCAGGATGGAGTACAGTGTCACACTGTCGGCTCACTGCAACCTCCACCTCCCAGGTTTGAGCAATTCTCCTGCCTCAGCCTCCCGAGTAGCTGGAACTACAGGTGCACACCACCACGCCCAGCTAATTTGTGTATTTTTTAGTAGAGACGGGGTTTCACCATGTTGGCCAGGATGGTCTCAATCTCTTGACCTCGTGATCTGCCTGCCTCGGCCTCCCAAAGTGATAAATGTGTGCTATTTTAAGCCATTAAATTTGTGGAAATTTGTTACAGCAGCAATAGCAAACACATCGTGTTATCCAATCAAGATCTCTTGAGTAGAGATTCCATTAACCCTGGCACTGCTCAGAGACAGCAATTTTCTTAGCCATTCTCCTTCCCTCCTGAAGATTCTCTATCATCCTGAACTCTGGCTTGCTGGTTTGGAGCTGGTTACCTCCATTGTCTCTTGCCATCATATGGGAGACTTCCTCAACTCCCTTTCCAGATCACTTAGGAGGAGGTTTTGAAAAGGGAGGAGAAGACAGATGGCTGCTGAGATCCTGGAATGATATTGAGAGATGAAATATGATTTCCAGGCCTGCTTTATCCAGCCCTTCAAGTCTGTAAAATCGGATCTCCCTCCTTCCTTCTTTATTTCTTTCCTCCTTGCTCTCCTTCCTTCTTTCCCCTCCTTCCTTCCCCTCCTTCTCTCCCTCCCTCCCTCCCTCCCTTCCTTCCTTCCTACCTTCCTTCTACAAACAGCTAGTGAGCCTCTAATATATGCTACATACAGCTAGAGGCAAAGGCATACAAAAATGAGTCAATCATCCTCAATACCCACCCAAGGAACTCATCAGTTAAAGACTTACCATCCATCTAGGGCAGTGATGTGCAAAGTTTTTGGACCATTAACCACAGCAATAAATTCATTTTTATATCACAGTCTACTAAACTGAAACAAAAGTTTCACAAAACAATACCAATGCTTATCAAAGGAGACGTACTCTATTTTCCATTCTACTCTGTTTCTATTCTATTCTCCATTCTGACCAGCAACCTAGTAAGTTGATTTCATGACCTAGTAATGGATTACACCTCTCAGTGGGAAAAATGCTGACCTAAAAGTCTCGACGCCCATGCCGAGATGATCACTGCACAGATCCATGGAGCCTGTCCCCCAGAAATGTTTTCAAAGAATTAGTGGATCCTAGGCCGTTCCCTTCCCCCACGCCCCCACCATCCATGCAGGGTGAGCTGACTCAGACTTGCAGGTTCCAGTCATTTCAATGATAAAATCACTCATCGCAAACACACTCACAAGCTCATCATCCCTTGAAGGGAAGGAATCAAAGGTGCTGAATGTGGAAAACCGTGACTCACTGTTCCTGTCAACCAGGTACATGGCTATAAATGTCACTCGAGTGAAATCATAGTAGAGGGCTCACAGTAACGAAGAAAGCACCAAGCACTGGCTGGGAGCTGAGACCTCTGACTGCTCAGAACAAACCAAAGAGATTAAACTTTATGTAAGGAGCAACAACCAGAACAGGTAACGACTAACAATGCACTGTAATTGACTCGATCAGACTTCCATTTTATACTGGGAAGGTTGCTAGTGAGCACATAAGCAATCTGGCCTGAGACCCCAGCCACCTGTGCTCGGGGGCTAGGGGCGGGGTGGGGCGGGCGGGGGGACTCGCTAAGCAGGAATGCGCCTCTCTCGGGTGCCCTTCCACAAGGCGTAACAGGCCACTAGTTTCAGAGGGCACCGCTATAAAAAGCAGCTGAAAAAGTCACAGTACCCTTTTATGTAAGATGACCTTGTTTGCCGGAGATTTTTTTTTTAATGGGAATTTTTACTCTCAATTACTTGTCATTCCACCTAATGACATATATTAAAGCTTATCTTTTCACAGGCTAATTTTAGACGAATACCAGTTCCCAGATCACTGGTTTAGAAAAACACTACCCTGCTTGGCAAATCCAGTCCACTTTCCTGAGAGGATTTCTATGGCAGAGGAGCTGGCAAGGTCGGGGCACCGGAGGGTGGGAGTGGGCAGGGTCTCTGTGGTGTGTGTGCAGCCCTTTATCTTCCTACTGTGTTGCTGCCACCCATGCAAACACCAAAATGACTGTGCCAGGGCTTAGGTCGTGTCAGCACACTGCCTTTGCGGCACTCTCCTCCCCTTCTCAACAGTTTTGCTGGCAGAAAATATTGAGGTTGAATAAGGTGCTGAAGATAGCACATATCGACAGCAGAACAGCCCTCCAGGAACCCGATATTCCTCTATTCACGATCCCTATTCCTCCTTCACATGGATAAGTGAACACAGCACATATCAATGACAGAACAGCCCTCCAGGAGCCCAATATTCCTCTAATCACAATAAAAGTTTTATTGTGATTTATTAGATTCATCCTTTATGCTGTTACTGAGAAAAGATGAAGACTAGAGCCCCACCATTCCATTGTCCTTGGGGGCCACAATGTCATGGAAAGGATCTTGATGAAAACCTGTTTCCACACTCCGATGGAAGGTGGTCAATCTCACAGTGTGTTTCTGACTCCCACTACTCCAGGAGGAACAGCCCTAGCGCATCTGCCATTTCTGAAAAGAAAATCCAAGCCACCTCCCATGCCGACATCTCAATACTCACGTTCCTCTGCCTGCGGGCCCCTCTGTTCTCCTCTCATATCTCTGCCAGCCTGGACCCCGTGATTTATCACATCAGTTTCCCTTTTGCCATTGCTGTTGACTTTCCAGCCTCCTGGTCCTGCATTTGCTCTGTTAAACTCCAACCCTGAGTGAACCCAGCCAACCATCCTCACCCCCACGCCAACCCATGCTGGTAGGCCCTGCTGGAGAAAGCAGAGTGGGAAGCAGATTCCCCAAAACATAAATGCCCTCCAGTCCTCGGGGCCCTGCATCCTGCGCATCTCTGTAGACACTTTCCCTTCCTATTTCACTGAGTGACATTTCCAAACGCTGAGACCCCAACCCTCACATCTCTGCCCACTTGCTGTATTATGTTTAAAATCAACCATCACACTGGCTTCTGAACACAGATAAACCAAGGGCATGAGGCGAGCCCTCCCACAGCTGCCCCTCCACCCGCCCTTCCTCCTTCCTCCTGTGCTCCCAGGCCCGATGCCCCTCCAGGTCTACGCCTGAGCCTTGTCCCTCCGCCCTGCACGCCCTCTTCCTTCCCTCTCTTCTCCCTGGGGCCCTTGCTCCCCTGCCACCCCAGCTCGCACCGTGCCTCTCCTCCTTTTCCTCTAGACCGATTCCTCACCTACCTTCTCCTCCAGACACTATCTTAAGTTCTCCTTCCCTTACAGCTGCCTTTTATAGAAAGGCCGTCTGCAATGGATGCGCCCACTTCCTGGTCCCTCAGCCCCAGCTGTCACTTTTCAACCCACTACAATGAAGTCTCCGTTTCCACGGAAAACGCTCTTATGGAGGTGAACGGCCTCCCAATGGCCAAAGGTGAGACGGCTTCCCGGCTTCTCTCCTGAGCTCTGTAGAACCTCACGCTGGCCCCTCTCCCGTGGCCTGACTCCCTCCTAGTGCGGCTTCCAGCTCCCCATCCTTTCTGTTCCCTCCCACACACCTGACCGCTGTTTTCCTCCAGCATCCCCTTCTGATCGGCTCTTCCACCTTCTCCCAGGATTCTCCTCATCCAAACCCACAGCCAGGGCTTCCCCAGTGTCAAGCACCAGGCTACCCTCTCTTCTGGGTGCCAGACCCACACATCCTGCGAGCTGGTGCGCTTCTCCCCCTGAGTGCCCCGTAGGCCCCTCAAACTCAACGAGTCAGCTCCATGAAGTGGGGGCCAAACTGCTCTGTGGGTCACCCTCGATCCTAAGACCCTAATGCGGCATGTGGCATGCCATTGGCATTCCATAAATGACTGTTGAATGTTCCAAACCAAATTCATTGATTTTTCCCTTAAAATTGCCTCTCTTCTTGGAATCCCCATCTCAGTGAATGACACCATCCAATCATCCAAGTCGAGTCCTTAGGTCATCCTAGCTGTCCCTTCCCCACCTCCCCACCCAGCATCCATTCAGTGTCAAGCTGTGCAGCTCTCATCTCCATAACGTTCCTTGTGCCAGATCCCTCCTGCCCAACCCAGAACCACCACCTTGCGGGAGGCTCTCACATCTGAACGTGAGCAGCATGACCGCCTCCTTTAGACCTTCCACCCCTGGTCTGGCAGCCTCAGATTCACTGCCCCAGGATCCTCACACTCTGACCCCATCTGCCTCTCTAGGTAGAATGCAGGGGACTAGATGGGGAGCCAGTCTGGTTGGGGGATCAGGAGACTTCTGTGAGGAAGTGCCTATTGAGATGACCTCTGCAAGATAGTAGGAGGTGGTTAGGCAAAGACCTGTGGGGTGGCAGAGGGCAGAGCAGCAAGCATTACAGAGGAAACAGGTGTCCAAGGGTTCTAAGGTTGGCAGGGGCACAGCACGTTCTAGAAGCTACAAGACAGCCGGTGTGGCTGGAGCCCAGGCAGCAAAATGCAGCATCTGGCCAGATGAGGCTGCAGGGGAAACAGGGACCGGATGGCCCAGGGGCTGGGGATGCAGGCAAGAATTTTAGTTTCTACTTCAGAACACCAGGAAGCAGAAGAGTGACATGATCAAGTCTGCCTTTTGAAAAGATCCCTCTTCAAAAATGCTTAGTTAATGAAGTAATGATGGATAATTTCCTAACATGATAAAATGCAGATATCGCAACCAAAATTCAGCATTTAGAAAGGGAACACTAGTCGCATTTCACTATTGAAAAGCAAGACACAATGTCCGCTATCATTGTTCTTTGAGGAGCTGGCCAACATAATTGGGTGAGAAAGAAATTAGAGATTTAAAAATGAGGAAAAAAGAGGTACAGCTCTCACTATTTGCATATGATATGCCTATACAGCTAAAAACCCCCAAAGAATCCATTAAGAAACTACTCAAACCATAAGAGAATTCAGTAGGGTGGTAGAAGCAAGTTAATATGTAGAAATCAATAACTTGCTTGTATATGAACAATAACCAGTTTCAAGAGATATTAGAAGGAAAGGCCTCCATTTATAATAGAAGCAAGAGGGTGAAATTAACAGTAAATGAAACAAGAGTTGTACAAGATCCTTATGAAGAGAATTTAAATTAACCTGAGGGACGCAGAAAACTTGATGTCCATTCCTGGACAGGAAGATTCAACAATAAGACAATGTCAATGCTTCCTAAATTAATCTATAAACATAATGCAACCCCAATAAAAATAACAATGGGAGTCTTAAACATCAGAACACTCTTGATTTTGGAGTTTATATGAAAAGCTCCCTCTGGCTGCAGTGTGGCTGGCTATGGACTGAAGAGTGAGAGTGGGCGGGCTGGCGGGTGACCTAGGACACCTGGCAGGGATCCTGCTGAAGAAGCTGGGCCCAGCTGACTCTGGGGCCTGGGGTGGGGTTGGGGACGCAGTGAAGGGCACATTTGAGAGATATTTCTATGGAGAAATTCCCAGGCCGTTGTGATTGATTGGATAGGGGAGGTGAGAAAGAGAAGTCAAACCAGGACTCCCGGTTTGTTCATTTAATCATTAATCGAATCTCCTGCAAACTTATCCCCATGTTACTAAAATCACTGCTCGGGGCAGGGTTTCTGGGCCCCCAGACAGATTTCACAAGAACCTCCAGAAAGGCTTTTTAACCAGTTGTTTGTTCATAGCCAAGCGAAGCACCACGTTTGCTCTCTGACTCTGCTAATCAGGTGTTCCGCTTAGAGCTTTGGAGAACAGGACGGCTTCAAGCTCAGAAAGCCTCAGAAAGACACTTGTTCTCTCCCTATCTGTGCTGTCAGTCCCCCTTTTGATTCAAAATCGCACCACCAAAAAATAGGGCAGTGATTGTGTTTGAGTTTGACCTCGTCAGATTCAACGTTTACTTGAGCTGTGGCTTGACATCTCCATACTGCCTTCACTCTTCTTTAATAAACAAATAAGTCCTGAAGGCAAAACAAAATTTCTCACCACCACTGGCATACCATTTTATCACAGCAATATCCCTTTAAGGTTTGCCTTTTTTCCCCTCTGTTCAGAATTCTTTTCAACACATTTTTCAGACAGAACAAAGTGAGTTTAAATATATCACACAGTGGCTGCCTCTCAAACATCTACAGAAATCATTTCAGTGAATGTGTTGTTTGATATGAAAAAGAAGTGTATTTGGTTTGGGTGCGAACAGACTGTTATGCAAAGCACGCATCTGTTAAAACTCAGGTGAAATAAGCCGAAGCTTTGGATGGGACAAGTTGAGGCCCAGCTTACCTCAAGCGCCTGCCAGGCTGGGCTTTGTTTGGGAGCTACACAAGCGCTGATGGATGCCTGAACCAGTGTGCTCTGAAACCTCATATTGCACACGAATCGCCTGGGGGGTCAGAGTCTGCAGGTCTGGGGTGGAACCTGAGATTCTGCTTTTCCAATGAGCTCCTACACGATGCCATCCTCCAAATCCACAGATGGCACCTGGAGTGGTGAGAGTTTAAATCGGCTCAGCAAGTTGGAAGCCACATTTCTCAAGGATTAGCCTGTAGGTTGGGATGCATTCTCCTTGCTTACAAAACAGAGATTTTGCCACCGTCTTATGTCAAACAACTTCAGATCTAACAAGTGGATGTTTTCAAGTCTCTTCAGACTATAATATTTGGAGGTCAGAATACCCAATCTCAGTGTTATACATGCCGAAAATTCATACCTGGAAAATCCCGCAATGCTTAGTAAACCCTCACCAATTTGGATTAAATAAAAGGGGAACTTTATTTATGAAATTTTAAAAATATAATCCTGCTTATTACTTTCATCTGCTTCCCTAGGGATAATGTTATTATACCTCATTTGCACTAAGAAAAAAAAGTCTAGGTCTTCCCAGCACCCTGCCGCACCATATGAATAATCACAAATTCCAAATAAAAGGAAAAGGATTTTCAAGAGTCCTCCTACATTTAAAATTAAAAGGTCCCTAAAACTTACAATATCTGTGTCAGTTCCTTCAGCTGTGACTATCCGGCCAGTGGGGCTTCATTCATCCCATTTTTGAGGTGGGAAAATTAAGGCCTAAAGTCACATGAAAAGTCAGTAGAACTCAAAGTCAATGCCACTTTGGGGACCTTATTAAGCTAAGGAATATCAACAACAATAACTTTTACCCATTCAAGTGCCAGCTGCCTTGAGGGAAGGTTTGTGTCTCCTGACAAGCATATGATCTCAGTCTAGTTTGTTTGGCCTGGAAAACATTTTCCTTATCGACTGAAAAGTAGAATGCATGAGAAAGAGTAAATGAACTGCTTTTTAAAAAGAGGGGAAGTAAAGTTAGTAAAGCACACACATTTCAGCTGCTTTTCCTATAACTACACAGATCTGTGCTCCTTGACCCAAAAGGCCATCGGGACAGATTGTGGGAAGAGCCACTCTGTTTTGCAAAGAAGTATATAAAATACAGAATAAAAAGGTACAAAATTTAAAAATATAAAAAGCACAGAAGGGGTCGATACAAATGCCTTGGGCATGCTATTACTGTACTATCTCTTCCTCCTCCTGGTTATCACAGAGAGGGCTTACCGTGCCCGTCCTGATCATGGAGAGTAGAAACCTTAAAACATGGGGCATCTTTAAAAATCATTAAATGAAAACAGAGTGTAGAGTCTGCCACATAGCAAGTGCCCATGAGAAGCTTTCAGTTACCTCGGGTTCTATGAAAACCAGTAACCTGCCACTGATGGTCTTCCCACTGTCCTATCAGAGCTGATTGCTTCCCGGGGTAACGCTCCACTAGAGGCTGCTGAGTTTAGCTTCATAATAGCGAACGGGTCCCTTCTATTCCTTTAAATCTGGGATGTGTGGGATGGAAGTACAGAATCCAGAAATGGAGATGGAATTTTTTAAAATCTGGAACATTCATTGAACATGTATGGGAAACATCTGGCAGAGAAAAAAAAAATACAATTTGCATTGTTTCTCTGACAGCAACCCTTGCACCAATGTCCACATCTATCTTAACACAGAGAGTTTTCTGACATCCCACCCTCAATCCACCTTTCTGTGTTACTGTTATCCCTTGATTAATAAAGCTAACCTAAGACTATCCAGAGAAGAGCCTCCAGATGCCTGGAAATGCTCTGGATGGGGCTGGGGAAAGCTACAGTCCAGCCGGTTGGAAAGGGCTCTCAACTGAGACCCAGGTACGTGGGTTCGAGTTTCCTCACCTCATCAGTTTCTTACCTGCTAAGTGGAGCTAAATCGCCTGCCCCTCAGAATCGTTATGAGGCTCTTGAAGCCTAGAACGAGTTCAATACATGCTGAGTGAATGAATGCATCTTCAGATGAAATAATTATGTGAAACACACAATCCAGGCCGGGCGCGGTGGCTCACACCTGTAATCCCAGCACTTTGGGAGGCCAAGGCGGGTGGATCACCTGAGCTCAGGAGTTCCAGACCAGCCTGACCAACATGGTGAAACCCCGTCTCTACTAAAAACACAAAAATTAGCCGGGCGTCATGGTGGGTGGCTATAATCCCAGCTACTTAGGAGGCTGAGGCAGGAGAATTGCTTGAACGCAGGAGGCGGAGGTTGCTGTGAGCCGGGATTGTGCCACTGCATTCCAGCCTGGGCGACAGAGCAAGACTCTGTCTCAAAAAAGAAAAAAGAAACACACAATCCAAATGTTAGTTGTTACTATTCTTTTAGTGCTTTTCCATTAAGGCTCTCAAAGCACAGTACACTGAGCAGTTTGCTTTTATCTTTTTTTTTTTTTTTTTTTTTTTTTGAGACGGAGTCTGGCTCTGTAGCCCAGGATGGAGTGCAGTGGCACGATCTCAGCTCACTGCAAGCTCCGCCTCCCGGGTTCATGCCATTGTCCTGCCTCAGCCCCTCCGAATAGCTGGGACTACAGGCGACCGCCACCACACCCAGCAAATTTTTTTTTTAATATTTTTAGTAGAGACGTGGTTTCACCGTGGTCTCGATCTCCTGACCTCGTGATCCACCTGCCTCGGCCTCCCAAAGTGCTGGGATTACAAGCGTGAGCCACCGCGCCCAGGCAGTTTGCTTCTATCTTGACTTATGGAAAACTTTTAGACTCCAAGCTCTTGGTATAAAGTCTACTTGATATCAATTCTGGGCTCTGCGGTCATAATAACACCCATCTTTATTTACAGTGCCCTTTTTTAGTAACACTGAGGATTTGCTACAAAAAAAAATAAACTGAAGTGCCTTACTAAAAAAGGTATTACGTTAGTTCAGATGTGTTCTGCTGCAAAGCATCAGAAAACCTAACTGAAGCTAGCTTAACTCAGATGAGGTGGGGTCATCTGAGACCTCAGGCCCTCCCCTGAGCTGAAGATCAGGACGGCTGCTCCTGAGGCCTACCGCACAGGGCTCTGTTGCCAAGGAAGAGGAGCGCAATGTTTAGTGGATAGGCAACCAACAAGGCCACTGCAGACACCTAACAGCACATCTCTCCATTCAAGCAGTGGCTCCCATCCGTCCTTGATGTTGTCTCTCTTTCTGAGTCATTCGCTCCTACTAGGCTGAAATGTGACCAAGTTCTGACCTATGCTCGTAGAGAGCAACCTACTTCTATAGAGTGAAGGAAGGGAAGTCATTACTGAAATGTGCTCAAAGCTGACCGAGGCCACTCAGTCGCACTGGTAATGGCCCACCACTTCAATGACTACACCTCCTCTCCTTCATCAGTGCCTCAATTCAGCCCACCACTTCAATGACTACACCTCCTCTCCTTCATTAGTGCCTCGATTCAGCCCACCCCTTCAGTGACTATACCTCCTCTCCTTCATTAGTGCCTCGATTCAGCCCACCCCTTCAATGACTATACCTTCTCTCCTTCATCAGTGCCTTGATTCAGCCCACCCCTTCAATGCCTATACCTTCTCTCCTCTCATCAGTGCCTTGACTCAGCCCACCCCTTCAATGACTATACCTTCTCTCCTCTCATCAGTGCCTTGATTCAGCCCACCCCTTCAATGACTATACCTTCTCTCCTCTCATCAGTGCCTCGATTCAGCCCACCCCTTCAATGACTATACCTTCTCTCCTCTCATCAGTGCCTTGATTCAGCCCACCCCTTCAATGACTATACCTTCTCTCTCATCAGTGCCTCGATTCTGCTTTCCCACTGTGAGGGTTTTCATTCCATGCTAGAGACCTTAAAATAACCTGGGGAGATGGCAAATAAGCACATGAAAAGATGCTCCATGTCTCACGTCATTAGGAAATTGCAAATTAAAACAACAGTAAGATACTACTACACATTTACTAGCATGGCTAAAATCCACAACACTGACAACACCAAATGCTGACAAGGATGTGGAGCAGCAGGAACTCTCATTCACTGCCTATGGAAATGAAAAATGGTGTAGCCACTTTAGAACACAATGTAGTGGTTTCCTACACAGCTAAACACAGTCTTACCATATATCCAGCAATCACGTCCCCTGAAAACTTATGTCCACACACAAACCTACCCAGGAATGTTTATGGAAACTTCATTCATAATTGCCAAAAATTGTAAGCAACCAAGATGTCCTTCGTTAGGTATAGAAAAACAAATGGTGGTATATCCATACAATGGAATATTACTCAGCAATACAAAGAAATGAGCTATCAAGCCACAAAAAGATACAAAGGAACCTTGGATGCACATGGTTAAGTGAAAGAAGCCAAATGAAAAGGCAACATCTTGCATGATCCCAACTCTACGACAGTCGGGAAAAGACAAAACTATAGAAACAGTAAAAAGACTAGTGGTTGCCAGACTTCGGGCAGAGGATGGGGAGGGTGTATGGGGAATTTACAAGGCTATTTTGTATGATACTGTACCATACAGGGAATTTAGAAGGCTTTTTTGTTTGATACAGTATCATACAAAATAGCCTTTCTGATATGAAAAAACTATTTTGTATGAAACTGTAATGATGGGCACATGACATTAGGCATGACATAAATCCATAGAATATACAACACAAAGAGTAAACCCTAAACTGTAGACTTTAGTTAATAATCATGAATCAATATAGGTTGATCGATTGTAACAAATGTACCACACTATCATCACAGCCAAAGACTGGAGGGACAACCTCAGGAGGAAGACAGCAGGAAATGAAAACTCATTTCCGCCGACATGGGGATCCCACAGTCCCTAGAGGAGAAAAATGGTTGAATTCCCCAGTCCTATTCCAAGCCTGCTGCTCCACAAATGGCCCTAAACCTGCAAGTGCATTTGAATTGTATCACAAGGACTACACTATATATGACCTCCTAGCATCTTATAGTGCAATCGTCCAGTACAATTCTTCAGCAGTCCAATATAATAACTGAATTGCTAAAAGTTCCCTGAGTGCTTTCTACCCAGCTTAGTAACTCTGTCTTTAAATAGCCTTATCTTGGACATATGTGTGGGGCTCTGACTAACAAGGAAACATACACCTGGTGGATGATTTGGAGATGGGTCTATTTGAAGAAGTTTGGCGCTACATTCACTCACTAAAATGTTTCTGGAATACTGAACTGGGTATTTGCTGAGAGATGGGGAATGGGTTGAGGAGGGTAGAACATAGCTATCTGTATTTCATTGTGTAGGAAAATGGCACACTCGAAGTCTTGAAGCAATTTAATCATTTAAAGGCCTCTCTGTGTTCCCAAAATATGAACAAGCCATGTTTCCAGGCCTACGTTTTATTAAACCTATCATTTTTCCCCACTGCTTTGGACATCCTTCCTAGATAAAGGGCACAGGCCTCTGATAATGAACAGTCAAATAAAAACATGTCCTGTTCCATACATCCTCTAGAAAGCAAAGTGCAACACACTCAGCTTTATAGCCCACTTCTCGAACTGCTTAACCCTCGTTCATGCCTGTAGGAGTATAAATTGGTTCCATATCTTCATAAGTCAATTTGGGAATATTCTGCAAACTTTTAATGTAGCTTTAAAATCGCTGACCCAGCAATTCCATTTGCATGACTTCATCGTTTTACCAAGTGTAAAAACTGACCTCTAACACACACTCCACCCTGACCTCTGATGGGTTTGAGAATGGGCCATAAGACACGCGTGGGACAGGGCCTCCTCACTTCTGAGAAGGACCCAGGGGAAGCCACGGCCTCACCTTTTCCTGATGTCAGGTCTGGATGTGTCCCCTGGAGTCAGTGCAGCCATCCTGGGACCATGTGGGGTAAGTGCAGAGGAGGAAAGTGCCTGGGCCCCGAGACATCGCTAAGCAGATGGACCAACAGGTCCTGCAGTCGGCCTGACCCTGGGCTTCTTCGTCTTTTTTTTTTTTTTTTTGAGATGGACTCTCGCTCTGTCGCCCAGGCTGGAGTGCAGTGGCACAATCACAGGTCACTGCAAGCTCCGCCTCCTGGGTTCAGGCCATTCTCCTGCCTCAGCCTCCTGAATACCTGGGACTACAGGCACCCGCAACCACGCCCGGCTAATTTTTTGTATTTTTAGTAGAGACGGGGTTTCACCACATTAGCGTGATCCGCCCGCCTCGGCCTCCCAAAGTGCTGGGATTACAGGCGTGAGCCACCATGCCTGGCCTTCTTCGCCTTTACGGAGATAATAGATTTATGTATCATATCAGCCAATGTAAGTCATCATTTTCTATAACTTGCAGCTGAAAGCCATCTGATATGATCCTACAAACAAAGGCACACTATGTGCCAAACTCTATGTCCAAGATTGTTTACTGCAGCCTAGTTAATAACAGCTAAAAACTGGAAACCCAAAAGTCCATCCTGGCTGAGTAAATTAGGGTCCATCCATATTACAGAATGCTAAGCAGCTCTTAAAAAGGGAGAGGGGTTCTATATGTGCTGATATGAAAAAAATGTCCACGATACGTGATTAGTTGACAAAAAACAGAGTACAGAACAGTATATGTAGTAGGATCTCACTTGTGTAAAATATACACACATGCTTTTATCCACATCTTGGGTAGGGATGACAGCATCTAACTAGGCAGAGCAGATGCATAAGGACATCACATGCCTGTTTCTGGAACTAAGGAGCATACAGAATTGGATAAGAGCAAACGGCAACAGGATTAACGAGCACCCGTACACCCACATAGATACAATTCTGGAAGGATGCCATAAAATTGCTAACAATGAGCCAGGCGCGGTGGCTCATGCCTGTGATCCTAGCACTTTGGGAAGCCGAGGTAGGAAGATCACGAGGTCAGGAGTTCGAGACCAGCCTGGCCAACACAGTGAAACCCTGTCTCTACTAAAAATACAAAAAAAAAAAAAAAAAAAAAAAAAAAAACTAGCCAGGCATGGTGGCGGGCACCTGTAATCCCAACTACTTGGGAGCTGAGGCAGGAGAATCGCTTGAACTCGGGAGGCAGAGATTGCAGTGAGCCAAGATCACGCCATTGCACTCCAGCCTGAGCGACAGTTCGAGACTTTTGTCTCAAAAAAAAAAAAAAAATTTGCTAACAATGGCTACAACTCGGGAGTGGCAAGTGGGAGGTGAATTAGTTTTCATTCAACGGCCTCTATACTGTTCGAATTTTTTACCATAGCATGTACTACGTTTATCTTTTTTTTTTTTTTTTTTTTTTTTTTAATGAGACAGGGTCTCACTCTGTCACCCAGGCTGGAGTGCAGTGGCACAATCATGGCTCACTACATCCTGTATCTTCTGGGCTCAAGCAAGCTCCCACCTCAGCCTCCGGAGCAGCTGGGACCACAGGTATGTGCCACCACACCTGAATAATTTTTTTTTGCTTGTTTTTTTTTGATAGAAGGTCTCACCGTGTTGCCCAGGCTGGCCTCAAACTCTTGAACTTAAGCAATCCTCTTGACTTGGCCTCCTAATGTGCTGGGATTACAGGCGTGAGACACTGCATCCAGCCTATAATTTCTTAAATCAAGATGAAAAATACTTTCAAAATGTTCAAAGGATTCAATTATAACACTTCACAGAAATTCAAATGGCAAATATATATAGAAAAATCACTGCCTAGAAATTCATTCAAATCATCTACAATCTTTCTAGCTACTGATAGTGATATGAATTAGGGGACTACACATTAATATTAATATAGCCTAAGTAAAATAAATTTTAAAAGATACAATCCAAATGCACACATGTGCTCTCCAAAGCCAAATAGCTTTTTCCAGTGATCCACATGGCTGTTACCTGCCAGGGATGAGAGTTGCCCGTGATGCTTGGAGAATAACTTTGGGAAGATCCAGGTTCTGCTTGGCCTCCCAGGTTTACTTTTAAAGCCCAGCTTGCATGTGGGGCACTTCATCAGAATTACTGAGTGAATATGCTGTCTTTGGTATTTCTTCAAGTTCGAAAATTATACCTCCCTTGGAGTTATTTTTGCCAACAACTTTTTCTTTTTTTTTTTTTTGAGACAAAGTCTTACTCTGTCACCCATGCTGGAGTGCAATGGCACCATCTCGGCTCACGGCAATCTCTGCCTCCCAGGTTCAAGCCATTCTCCTGCCTCAGCCTCCCAAGTGGCTGGGATTACAGGCACATGCTACCATGAAGGCTAATTTTTGTATTTTTAGTAGAGACGGGGTTTCACCATGTTGGCCAGGCTGGTCTCAAACTCCTGACCTCAAGTGATCCGCCCACCTTGGCCTCCCCAAGTGCTGGGATTACAGGTGTAAGTCACCGTACCTGGCCTTGCCACCAACTTTTAATCCACCCTTCTAAAGCATTCAGGATAGAAAAAAAATGGACATCATCTTATTTCTGACAAGTTCTTTGCTGAAAAGCTTTGCTCTCATGGAGCACATCCCACCTGTTCTATAAAAGCCCTAATATTACCCAATTTCTATTCTTTCCTCAATAAGCATTTGGAGAGCTCTGTTCATTCTTGAAATAGCACTCCCTGTCCTTACTGCCTCTACCAATTTGTCTGAGAGTGGTGATTTTTTTTTAAATACCTTCCTATCCCTTGCAAAGCCCTTTGATAAACTGGCAATAAAGACAGTATCAGTAGCTTGTTATGACAATATTAGTTACAATATTGTTTAATAGCTTTTTAGAGCCTAGCACAGCCCAGAACATAAAAGGAACTTTAAAGAAAAAAAGAAATAGTCATTCAATGGTTTATTCAAGATGTACCGATTGAAAAGCTGGACGAGTCAAAAATATTATCAGTATAGTTCTCTTGACAGTAAGTGGGACCAGCCTAGCACACACTTTCTCTGCCAACATCCCCCCACTGTCCTCGCTAGGAAGTGTGGTCCATTAAGTCCTTGAATCCTCATAAGAGTGACTTTAGAGTTGTAACTATAGAGACAAACAAAGGTATGAGAGTTACGAAGATCCAAGCAAATGTTCTCAAAATGTCTCGAAAGCCTGTACTTGGGACAGGCAAGGAGAAAGAACAGAATTCACAATTTCATCAGGCAGTGAAGAAATTTGTTTAAAAAAAAAAAAAAAAAAAAAGCTGCAAACCTGAACTAGATGGTGCAGAATTCAAATGGAAAGAAGATGTGAAGGAATTTCGTAAGTCTGTCAGGAAAAAACACAAACCAACAACTGTACGATATGGACACTGAATATCCTCTGACATTGCAAAGACCCTAAACTAGGCTCCCTGTGCCCAGTGGTGGCCTGGACAAATGACCCTGCACATGTGCATCCCATAGGTCTCTTGGCCTGGATGAAAGTCTCTGGCAGCAGCTGCAGCCCATAGAGATGGTCAACATCTCATAGTCATATACTGTCTTGGAAACTTCAGACTACAACACCAGCACTTCCTCAGGCTCCCCTTCCTCCAAGCACAGCATGAGCCAATGCAGAATGCTCATTTTGGCCTTATTTTAAAGGTGGAAGTGGAAGGGTGGCACCATGGTTTTCATAATCAAGGGTGCCAGCTAGCCTACTTTTCTAGAACCTGAGATCACTGGGGGATGGGCGGAAGCTTAGAGGCCATCGGCATCTTTCAGAGATGAAGAAAGCAAAGCCCAGGGAGGCAAAGGGAGTTCGCCGTGGGCATGCCAGAGGCAGCGGCAGAGCCAGAACAAGAACCCAGTGCTCTCTCAGCTGCGCATGGTGGTGCACGCCTGTAATCAAAGGAAGCCAAGGTGGGAGGATCACCTGAGGTCAGGAGTTTGAGACCATCCTGGCCAACATGGTGAAACTCTGTCTCTACTAAAAATACAAAAATTTGTTGGGCATGGTATGCCTGTAATCCCAGCTACTCTGGAGGCTGAGGCAGGAGAATCGCTTGAACCCAGGAGTTGGAGGTTATGGTGAGCCAAAATTGCACCACTGCACTCTAGCCTGGGCAACAGAGTGAGACTCTGTCTCAAGCCAAATAATAATAATAATAATAATAATAGCACAGAGAGAAATGTGCTGGGTGACCTGCGCAGTGTCGTCCCGGCCTTTCCAGGGTGGAGGGAATACAGTGGCATTCAACAGACACCTTGTAACTCATCACAGATGTCCATGAGAAGCCACATGGATGGAATCTGAGTCCAGGCACACATTTTCCAGAGAAAGAAAAGAAGTTGCTGTGGGTAGAAAGGAGTTTTGAGGCTCCATGGAGACAGGCTTTAGACGGAAAAAAGACATTTTAGAAAATGCAGTGTAGAAAGCTCCCACACATCCAGCCCACTAAGTCTCTGAATGTGAGGAATTTTTGGCTGCCTTCTGACTTAAAAAAAAAAAAAGAAAGGAAGGAAGAAAAGCTTTAAAACAGAGATACCTTTAAAAGAAAAAAAAAATCTTTCTGAAAGAATTATCTGCTATTTCAGGTAATTTTAAAACTATGAAATAAGAAATTCCCCTTCCTGAGGCAAACTAAGGCAGTGACGTCTTACCAGTGAGTGTTGGTGAAATAGAATCAGAGAAGCTGTATCCACCTGTAAGATGCCAGGCGAGGAGACGAGAACAGCTGTTCATCAGCTCTCTCTCCATATGTAAATCTTCAGTGGCGTATCATGAGCAAAACCTCTGTGTTTTAGGGCTGTCCCCAGTCGTCTGCTGTGGTGAAGACTCAGCTTTGAGCTGAGAGGCAGAGAGAAGCAGCAGAACCATGTGCCCACCCCTCGACCCCCTGCAGGGCCTCACATCACCGCTTCTACAAACACGGAGTGCGTGTCTACTGTATGCCAGGCACTGTTCTTGGCACTTTAGACGCTTCTATGGAAAGGGATTACACTTCCCACTTCCTCCCTCATTCACCGTCTCCCTCACTTCCAAGACTATTCCTGAAGTCTCCCTTCAATCTGCCGTTCAGTACTGTGAGCCGACCTCCTTTCACTTTGGCGCTGATGCCAAACAGCTAACCCCACGGGCTCTCTAAAACATATGTCCTTGAAAGCTGTTGTATCTGTAACTTCTGGGCCAAAAAATACGGATCCCACAGCCTTTCTTCTTTCTCATGGACCTGATTTCCCAACGCTATATCCTCACTGGTGCTCTCATGAAAATTTATTTCCAGAACTTCATGTCCACAATTTGACAAATGGTTTTGCTCTGATTCTGACGTGGGCGTGCACCTACGTGGTCTCCTGCTATCCAGGCTAACTATGGTGCGCTTGTGCTTATTACTCCTCATTCTCCAATTCTCCAAAGTACTTGAGTTGTACCACCATTTCCACCTGAATTGTGAAGGTAATGACCACTTCAAGCTAAGACAATTCCCACTGCAAACTGCATTCTATTGGCCGGGCACGGTGGCTCACACCTGTAATCCCAGCACTTTGGGAGGCCAAGGTGGGTGGACCATTTGAGGTCAGGAGTTTGAGACCAGCCTGGACAAGATGGTGAAACCCTGCCTCTATTAAAAATATAAAAATTAGCCAGACACAGTGGTGAGTGCCTGTAGTCCCAGCTAGTTGGGAGGCTGAGGCAGGAGAACCACTTGAACCTAGGAGGTAGAGGTTATAGTGAGCCAAGATCGCACCACTGCACTCCAGCCTGGGCGACACAGCGAGACTCTATCTCAAAACAAGCAAACAAACAACAACAACAAAACTCCATTCTATTACTAGCTATTAATAAAATATCCAACAAACTGGCCAGGCGCAGTGGCTCACGTCTGTAATCCCAGCACTTTGGGAGGCTGAGGAGAGCAGATCACTTGAGGTCAGGAGTTCGAGACCAGCCTGGCCAACATGGCAAAACCCCATCTCTACTAAAAATACAAAAATTAGCTGGACATGGTGGTGGGTGCCTGTAATCCCAGCTACTTGGGAGGCTGAGGCAGGAGAATTGCTTGAACCCAGGAGGTGGAGGTTGCCATGAGCCGAGATCACACCACTGCACTCCAGCCTGGGTGACAGAGCGAGACTCCATCTCAAAAAAAAAAGAAATAAAATATAAATATATATATATGTATATATCTCTCCAACAAACTACATATCTAAAGCTAATCTTCCTACCACCCTTCCCGATGTCACACTAATGCACCAATTGCACACATATCTAATGACTGTGTGGTCTAAACCAGTGGCCACACATCAGAGATGCCTGGAAAGCTTTAATTTTTTTTTTTTTTTTTTTACCATGAACATGCAGGAAGGAAAGTCCTTTTTAGCATTTTATTTTGAAATAATTATAGACTCACAAGGAACTCCAAAAATAGTGCAGAGAGTACTCAACCTTTTACTTTCTCTCTTTGTTTTCTTATTTTCCTTAACCTTAACCTTTTTTTCACATCTCTTATCTTCTATGTAAGAAAGTACCAGCACCCAACTTCCCCCAGGAGGGACATCTCACATAACCAAAGGAGGTTGGCTGCATAGGGCAATGAGCTAGACTACAGATCCTACCCTGATGGCAAGAGTTTTTGCATGCATTTGTTTATTTGATATATCCTTATGCACAATTATATGACATCTTCTCACACAGATTTATCGAGATGCATTTCTGTCCCATCCACACAAAGGAGCTCTCCTTACTGCCCTTACAGCCCCCAACCCCCACTCTCTCCTCCCTGGCAACCATTTGTCTGTTCTCCATCTCTGTATGATGTCACTGTGAGAATGTTATATAAATGGCACCATACAGTAACCTTTTGAGATTGGCTTTTTTTCATTCATTGAAAGCTTTTAATAAATCACATGTTCTAAGTTTCATCACTACCCCTACCACCTCACCCTAAGCCCTAGGATTCTGATTCAGTCGATCTAAGGTGGGATCCAGAAAATGGCATATTCAAAAGCTGCCCAAGGAATCCTTACCCACTGCAGCTTCTGAGCCACTGGCCTGGACCATCTCCTCCAGCTAACGGATGTCTGTGGTGTTAAAGATGGAATCAAGGCCAGGCGCGGTGGCTCACGCCTGTAATCCCAGCACTTTAGGAGGATGAAGCGGGCAGATCACGAGGTCAGAAGATCGAGACCATCCTGGCCAACATGGTGAAACCCCGTCTCTACTAAAAATACAAAAATTAGCTGGGTGTGGTGGCGTGTGCCTGTAATCCCAGCTACTCAGGAGGCTGAGGCAGGAGAATCGCTTGAACCCAGGAGGCAGAGGTTGCAGTGAACCAAGATCATGCCACTGCACTCTAGCCAGGCGGCAGAGTGAGACTCCATCTCAAAAAAATAAATAAATAAAAAAGAGAGATGAAATCAAATATCTTGCTAAGGCAGGTAAGCTTACCTCTACCACCTCCTTCATCTGCCACAACCTTGGAGCTTCCAAGGAAACCAGATTAGCCTAAAGTGACTACTTCCTCATTAAACTGCACTAGCTTTTATCTTATAGCCTATTATTTCTAAGGTGCCAGATAATTGAGTTGGTAATGAGTTGTTCTTGTTGTTTTCAAAATTATTTCTGGCTCAAAGATCTGCAAGTCTTTACACATCAATTCTTACTTTTTCATTCAGAATCATTTTTTTATACAAAATGCACTGCAACAAATCCAGCCAATTTTATGTCTCCCCTGGACCCAAATAGCACTACCATGACATAGCACATTCCAGCCCTATTTATTTTTTCCACTTTCCGTGGAAGATGAATACAAAATAAGTACAATGCATGTTTTGACTGCAGCTTGGCTGACCAGAGAGAATCCATGAAAAAACAAAAAAATGCCACTAAGTACAGGCAGGCTCCTGGCCACAGACAGAAGCCACAAGGAAAGGACAGTCTGGGAAGTGCTGAGAAGCTGGCCTGTGAGCGTCTCTCCATGACCAACAGGTACTGGAATGCCTCTTAGAACAGCTGCCAGCGCGGGCAGATCACTTGAGGCCAGGAGTTCGAGACCAGCCTGGCCAACATGGTGATACCCGTCTCTACTAAAAACACAAAAATTAGCCGGGCGTGATGGTGGCATGTGCCTGTAGTCCCAGCTACTCGGGAGGCTGAGACACAAGAATCGCTTAAACCCGGGAGGCAGAGGTTGCAGTGAGCCGAGATCGCGCCACTGCACTCCAGTCTGGGTGACAGAAGAAGACTCTGTCCCCCCCCCCAAAAAATAAAATAATAAAATAAAATAAAATAAAGCTGCCAGTGAGGCAGAAGACCAACCTCTCCTCATGCCTTGGAGGAGATGGGAAACCACTCGGAAACACTTTCATGGGATCATGATGAAGGTGAAGAAGAGGAAGGAGGAAATGACAGGGCTGGGTGCAATTCATGCATTCTCCCTTTCATCCAGTCAATGTAACCTCCCCACTAGAACATCTGCTCCACGAGGGCAGAGGCCTGGCATAGCGTATGTTCCCTACTTTACTCAAGAGCTTGACTTACCGTTGGTGCTCAGTAAATATCTATCGAGTAACATATTCACCCAGCACCTAGGGGAGCAGTCACGCCCTTGTCCAGCCCCTCACCAGAAAAGGTCACCTAAGAGAACACTACCTACACTGTTGAGCCAGAGGGAAGGCATGCTAACTGCAGGAGTCACAAACATACGTAACCCGCTGCTCCCTCTGCTTCTAGAAAGCAGGATCCAACCAGAAGACCTGATGGGAGGTCACATAAATGAAACAGAGGGCCCACCTGATGTCCCATCCAGCCCAGCCTCAGAGGTCCGCACCCCCGGTGTGGATTCAACACACCCACATCCCCCTGGGACGCGGAAGCAGAAAGTGCTAGTTGTTCCTCAATACCGGCTGGCCTCTTCTCCCTCAGCAACAGAAGATTTTGAGAGGCACATGAAGTACAAGACAGACTCATTTCCCCAGTGTCCTTGCAGCTCGTTAGGGCACAGTGACAGCGATCGAGCAAATGAGATGCAAGTGGGAATGCCACGCAGTAGCTCTTAAGGAGCATCTGGGGGTTCCTCTTGCCCCTCCTTCTTTTCTTTTCCATCCTGGTGTCTGGAACTCAGATGCAATCGCCAGAGATCCAGCTGCCATGTGAGGCCCCAAGAACAAGGATCACATCCTAGGGAATAAGGAAATTATAAGCAGGGAGGAAGACAGTGTGGCAATTCTTCAAAGATCTAGAAGCAGAAATACCATTTGACCCAGCAAACCCATTACTGGGTATATATCGAAAGGACTATAAATCATTTTTTATAAAGATACATGCACATGTATGTTCAATGCAGCACTATTCACAGTAGCAAAGACATGGAATCAACCCAAATGCCCATCAATCATAGAATGGATAAAGAAAATGTGGTACATATATGCCATGGAATACTATGCAGCCATAAAAAGGAATCAGATCATGTCCTTTGCAGGCACATGGATGGAGCTGGAAGGCACACGGATGGAGCTTCAGGAAATTAATGCAGGAACAGAGAACCGAACACCACATGTTCTCACTTAGAAGTGGGAGCTGAACGATGAAAACACATGGACACAGGGAGGGGAACAACACACACTGGGGCCTGTTGGAGGGCGTGGAGGGAGAGCATCAGGAAGAATAGCTAATGAATGCTGACCTTAATACCTAGGTGATGGGTTGATCTGTCCAGCAAACCACCACGGCACACGTTTACCTATGTAACAAGCCTGCACATCCTGCACATGTACCCCGGAACTTATAAATTAAAGAAAAAAAAAAGCAGAAAGGAGCTTGGGTCTCTGAAGATCTTGTGGACAAAGCCACCAGGCCAGCCTGTACTGCCCACCTCTGACATTTTATGTGAGAGAAAAATAAGCTTTTCTCTTGATTAAGCCTCTGTTATTTGGGCGGTTTCTATTATTTACAGCAAAGCCTAATCCTAGCTAAAACTGATGTATAAAACAGAGATATAGCCCACCTATCACAACTTGCCCACAAAATGACTTCTTAAAGATTCATCGTCATTAATATAGCTAACTCCTTCTTGAGTCTACTTCTATATTTGTCCTTTATCATTTCTTGAGGACAAAGAGTTTCTTATTTCCTAGCAACACGGCAGCACTTAAAAGAGCATAGAGGACTCGCATTTTAAAAACCTGCTTCCTGCTTATTTTACTTCTGAGAAGTTCATGGTAAGTTTACTTAGCCAGGTGACCCATCCAAGCAAGGTTTATTTAGTTCTAAGTTCACATGCCATCCTAATCAACCTGGAATAAATATGGAGCATGAGGACAGGCCAACAAGAAGTGTCTGTCCCATCAGACTACAATGAAATGAACATATAAGCACCGAGTTCTGCCCTTTGAAGATGAAGGCACACCAATTTCATTGTAATCACATGGCCAAAGCACCAACAGGAATTTTCAAAAGAGACCACCTTTTTTTAATTCTCTTTTACTTTACAGCTGAGACAATTGCTGTGTCTTCTCAGATGAAAAGTGCCTTGGTTTGGGCAGTCTACAAAAATGATTTGGGGACTTTTATTTGCTAATGGGAAGACTACCAAGAGTTAGTTTTCCTTCTAGGGGACTGCTGGGAAGTTTTCTTGTGTCCAGTAAATCTTGGCTTAACAGGAAAGCAAAATTTAAGAAGAGTATAAAACAGCTGCGACTTTCATCCCCAATGAATCCTAGGAGGCAGAGGGTTCCCTACCCAGAGACCACCTCTGCGCTGCTGCCTATACACAGCGGCCATGTAGGAAAGGGGACGGCAGGGTCCCACTCACTCCCTTCCCAGGGGCGGGGCTACAGGGTGGCCTGGTGTGGAAACCCACCAGGGACGCCAGCAGCTCTGCAACCCAGCAGCCCAAGTCCGTATCTCAGTTCTGCTGCTTACTAGGTGGGCGGCTGTGGACTGGTCACCCACCCTCTTTGAGCCACGAAACCACCTACATTATAGGGTCATTTGTTGTAAGGACTAGTGAGACGTATAAAATTCCTAGCCCATAATGTGTGTCCATTACATTTATAGAAATTCTTTTATACATCCAGGGCACTTCTAATCCAAGGTTGAGAACGGCAATGCTAAAATAAAAGCCGGTGCATGTCTTAATGCCTCGTAGCTGGAGCCTGACAAGCAAGACTCTATCCCCCTTCTCACTGCCTCTCTGACCCGCAGACAAAGAGAGGCTCTTCTGCATGTCAGGCAATTAGCTCAGTGAGGACTCAGCATTGCTGAAGAAATGGAGAAGAGAGGACTGGAGAAAAAGGAAGCAAGGCTGCATGTTCAGCTGCGCGGTTTGTTCACTGAACAAGGGCTTTACAAGTAACGGCACCATTTACACTGTAGACCTCATGGAATTAGATCCTTAGTTTGAAATTTTTCCAGCAGAGGGAAATGTCTTATTTTAATAAAAATATGTATATAATGATAATTTTCTGACAGCAGAAATAAACCATTTTGAAGAAGGAGTGACTTTCTTACATTTACCTGAAGGTGCCCCATAAGTTAGCAATGGAGCAGTCAGAACCCTGCTGGGGAACCCCTGGCTTAACCAGATATTTCTTCTGAAGCTGGGAATACTCCACTAGCTCAGCAAGCCAAATTCCATCCAGCGCTCTCTGAGATAATATTTTTCTGCAATCATATTCAACCAAAGGTACGATTCAATGTCCTAATCTATCAACATCATAACCTCAATCTGAGAATTATGATCCTACTTATAGCAATACCTGAGGAGACATCACATGTTCAAGAATAGCCAAACAGATACACGGATCCCTTCGACTTTCAAATCCTTTCAACCTTCTTTCTCCCTCCTGTGCACCTCTCAGCACCCGGTCCTCCAGGATTCCAAGCTCTGAATCACCCCACTCCCTCCCCAACTGCAGCTTCCTGTTCAGGGCCTCAGGCCTGGTGGGAAAGTGATGAGCTAATCCACGCTCTGGAGCTGATACGATATAAACTTCATGCATTACCTCTCCCGCTAGGAATTAATATTTTTAAAAGCATGCCCTCAAAAGGACAAGGTTTAACTCAAACAAATGATTGTCAAGGGTGGCATTATCCTATTTAGAAGGGGCAACAAAGATGGAAAAATTGGGGAGGTCCGAGCAGGGGTGGGGGATGGGGAATAACCATCCAGAATTCCCCATTTATAGCCCATCCATGATTTAATCTTCATGTTAGCACACCCGCTCCATCACACTAAATCATTACAAATTCATGACAAAATGTCTTTGCTTGCATAGCACTTTATTTTTAAGGCCAGTCATTACATCAAAGCGCTAACTAGAGCCTCACTTATAAAGTGACAAGCAGTTAGTCAATTATAATAAAGAATCACTTATAATTGAGTAAATCATTGCTCAAAATACAGTTGCTTATGCAAAAATGCACCATGATTATTATTAACAGTACAACATATTTTCCACATCATCATTACCATTATTATTAATATCAACCCTTGGAGAGGTTTTTCTGACCAAAATTTCCAGACTTTAAGAGGAAAGAATATTTTTTTTAAAAAAAATTTTGAGCTCGGCCAGGCACGGTGGCTCACGCCTGTAATCCCAGCACTTTGGGAGGCCAAGGCGGGTGGATCACGAGGTCAGGAGATCGAGACCATCCTGGCCAACACAGTGAAACCCCGTCTCTACTAAAAATACAAAAAATTAGCCAGGCGTGGTGGCGGGTGCCTGTAGTACCAGCTACTTGGGAGGCTGAGGCAGGAGAATAGTGTGAACCCAGGAGGCGGAGCTTGCAGTGAACCGAGATCGCGCCACTGCATTCCAGCCTGGGCGAGACAGCGAGACTCCATCTCAAAAAAAAGAGCTCACCTGGGGGAGGTTTTGCGCTGGATCTTTTGGCGGTGCAAAAAAGTTCCCAGATGGGTTTCTCTCCTTGTTTCACATTTCTGAATTTAGACCCTAACATAAAATATTCCTGAGCTACTTAGAATATATATTTTTAATGAGCAGAAAAAAATAAATAAAACGGGAGCTTCAGCCCTGTTTCTCTTTACCCACTGAGGTTGAAATCCACCACTTCTGAAGGCATCCCTGTAAATGTTCTGAATGGGACCTGGGAGGGCTGCTTTTCTTACCCATTGCTTCTAATTTACTTGCATATCCTTTTTCCTGAAATGTCAGTAGCGCATAAGGAATCCATTCATTAACTCTTAACTCCTAATAAGAAAATAGTCAATGGCTAAAGAGCTTATGAGGAAGAGCTGAAATATAAACAAGCAAACTAAAAAGTTTTGTAATGCTATTTTAAACATTTTTCTCTAAATCTAAAATATTCCAAAATTAAAAAATATATATTTAAAAACAAGTTATCTAACCAAAGACAAGGACCCAGCTTCCATTCAGCATCTATGAACCAAGCACAGTGCCACCTGCCCCAGGGACTTTCTGTCCTTGACTCATTGCTAGGAAACGGTCAACAGCTATTTTTATCCCCTCAAATGGGCACTTTAGAGAGACAGGAGAGACCCTCTCCCTAAAGCAACTCCCAAGTATCCACTAAGGCTTCTGTCACCACTGGGGAGTCTTATCAAAGCAAAGGATGTTGAATAAAGGCCCTAGGAATTAGTTGAGGAGGACATAAATTATTTTTCAGAAAAGAGTCATTTTCCGGCCGGGAACAGTGGCTCACACCTGTAATCCCAGCACTTTGGGAGGCTGAGATGAGGGGATCACCTGAAGTCAGGGGTTCGAGACCAGTCTGGCCAACATGGAAAAACCCCACCTCTACGAAAAACAAAAATTAGCCGGACATGGTGGCACACACTTGTAGTCCCAGCTACTCAGGAGGCTGAGGCAGGAGAACCACTTGAACCTGGGAGGTGGAGGTTGCAGTGAGCCGAGATCACACCACTGCACTCCAGCCTGGGTGACAGAGCGAGACTCTCTCAAAAATAAATAAATAAATAGAAAGCCACTTTCCATGTTCAACGTATTCTATTTTTGTACAATAGACTCCAAAGATATATGGCACTGAGTTTTCTCATCTGTAAAATGGAACTAATAACAGTACCAACTATGGGGGAAGTGTGTGGGTTAAGTAAGCTACCAGCCCTTAGCCAGCACCTGGCTTGTGCAGGCAGGCCCCACTGGGAAAAGTCCTCCCGTTTGTGTGCCCACCATGCTCAGCACCTGCCAAGGCACCTGCTGGTGTTGGTTTAGCAGCAGCCGCAGTGGGTCTGCCCTCCTGCAGGCGGGTCCATGAGGCTTGCCACTTCTGGACTGCCTTTCACGCTTCCTGACACCGGTGGGTGGCAGCGTCTATGTTATGGTGTCACATTAGCTAAGGAGATCATACTTGCTAAACTAAGCTAAGCTAATGAGCTCTGCTCAGCTAATCAGCTCTACAGAAATCAGCCTTCTTTTTTAGTGAATAGGCAGCCCCTAAAGTTAATTTGTAGGTTGGTTGTTTGAAACTGGGAATGTGTCTTCCCAAAGAAACAATGTGACAAATGAAGACAGAGTTCTCAGGCCGGCCCTAAACCCTTTTCTAATGCTTAAGGCAGAGAACAATAGTGCAGGGAATAATTGTACTGGAGTTTAGGGGCTGTGGGTCCATGGTAGGGTACAGGAAGAAAGCAACTGGCAGCCTTCCCCTTTCCCAGGTGCATAGGTTGAGTAAGGGTAAAACATTGAAGAAAATAATAAAGAAAATAAACATCAGTGACTATTTCATTTCAACCCAACTAAATGACCACAAATTTCACAAAATATATGCTTTCATTCATAACCTAGCAGGTTATTTCGTAGGTTATTGTTCCAGCTTGTGGAGCATGACAATAGTATTTGCTGAAAGGGACAAAACAAAGAAATTCTGTTTAAAACCCCTTTCCCATCCAAGAGTGCTTGTTAGAAATTCAATTTACATTTTCTCTGATGTGCTAACATCTTTAATGAGAGCAGGTGCTCTAAAATAAAGCCAAATCCATGAACTCTGGTGAAAATTAGCATAATTTTTTTATTGTACAATGCAACAAGTCCAGTTCAGAAGGCAACAGAAGGTATATCGCCAGGCTGGGCATGGTGGCTCATGCCTGTAATCCCAGCACTTTGGGAGGCAGATGCGGGCGGATCACCTGAGGTGGCCAGTTCGAGACCAGCCTGGCCAGAATGGTGAAATGCCATCTATACTAAAAATAAAAAAATTTAAAAACTAGCCAGGTGTGCTGGTGCACACCTGTAATCTCAGCTACTTGGGAGGCTGAGGCAGGAGAATTGCTTGAACCCAGGAGGCGGAGGTTGGAATGAGCCGAGATCATCCCACTGCACTCCAGCCTGGGCAATAGAGTGAGACTTTTGTCTGGAAAAAGAAAAGGAGGAGGTACATCGCCAGTCTGAGAATATTAATATCTTCAAATGAGGGCTGAAGTAGTGGCCTGCCCATCACTTTTCTCAAAAAAGGAATTAAAGTGTAAAACAAGAAATTGTCCAAAAAATCTCACACTGAAGAGATATTTTGTTGACACGATGATAGGGACCATCATATCCCACTTCATCTTCACCCCATTAAGAAGGGAGGATGAAGTGGAGGAAGCCCCAGACTAGCAATCAGCAGGTGTGCATCTCACTACTGCAGCTGAGACCTCAGCAGGTGCGCATTTCACTACTGCAGTTGTGACCTCAGCAGATGCACATCTCACTACTCCCGCTGCGACCTTGGCAGGTGCACATCTCACTACTGCAGCTGAGACCTCAGCAGGTGCGCATCTCACTACTGCAACTGCGACCTCAGCAGGTGCATATCTCACTACTGCAGCTGAGACCTCAGCAGGTGTGCACCTCACTACTGCAGTTATGACCTCAGCAGGTGCTCATCTCACTTGCTGTGACCTCAGCAGATGCGCATCTCACTTCTGCAGTTATGACCTCAGCAGGTCCACATCTCACTTGCTGTGACCTCAGCAGGCGCACATCTCACTAGTGCAGTGTGATCTCAGCAGGTGAACATCTCACTAATGCAGTGTGACCTCAGCAGGTGCGCATCTCACTTGCTGTGACTTCAGCAGGTGCACATCTCACTAGTGCAGTGTGACCTCAGCAGCTGCACATCTCGCCACTGCAGTTATGACCTCAGCAGGTGCTCATCTCACTTGCTGTGACCCAGCAGGTGCACATCTCACTACTGCAGTTATGACCTCAGCAGGTGCGCATCTCACTACTGCAGCTGAGACCTCAGCAGGTGCACATATCACTTGCTGTGACCTCTGCAGGTGTGCATCTCACTACTGAAGCTGTGATCTCAGCAGGTGCTCACCTCACTACTGCAGCTGAGACCTCAGCAGGTGTGCATCTCACTACTGCAGGGTGACCTCAGCAGGTGCGCATCTCACTACTGCAGGGTGTCCTCAGCAGGTGCGCATCTCACTACTGCAGCTGAGACCTCAGCAGGTGTGCATCTCACTACTGCAGCTGAGACCTCAGCAGGAGCACATCTCACTACTGCAGTGAGACCTCAGCAGGTGCGCATCTCACTACTGCAGTGAGACCTCAGCAGGAGCGCATCTCACTACTGCAGCTGAGACCTCAGCAGGAGCGCATCTCACTACTGCAGGGTGACCTCAGCAGGTGCGCATCTCACAACGTCATCCAGCCTCGTGGGCCTCAGTTTCTTCGTCTATAAAATGAGGGCATTTTAACCAGTTCTACCCTTGTATGATCAGAAATAAAGAAAAATGGTGCCTGTATGTATACCCAGTAACATTCTACATACAGTGTACCAAAAGATTGACGATAGTTAACAAGAAAAAAGTATTATTTTGAAAAGTGCCTATTTTGACATATTTTTATGCTTCTAAAAAAAAGCTTTTTTTAGAGTCCATTATTTGAAACAACGTTTCTATTTATCTTTGAACTCTACATCTCAACATTGGGTTACTGATAAGTTACATCAGTGCTTCTTGTGGCAAGGCTTTGGCATCTGATAAATAAATAATGAAGGCAGCTAATGAAAACACTCCACACATGGAAACCCTGAAATGGATGCACCTAGGTTTAACAGCAAGTTTTGGCTGTCTCCTCCACTCAAGGGCATATTGTTTTCAATGCAGTGCTAGAAAGACTGATTTAGTGCCCACTGTGAGCCACACACTAGTACCAGAGGCACAGGAGACAAAGATCAATAAGACAGGGTTCTGGGCTTGGTGAGTGCACAGGCCAGGGGATGATAAAGGCGTGCACAGCTGCACAGGGAGCCCGGCACTCACTGGTAAGAGGCAGAGCCAAAGGAAGACAGCGGGACCTGGGGGAACGCTGCAGGGTTACTGCCAGGGGCATCAGGAAGGCGTCTGCTATTTGCATTTCATAGGTTCGTGGCTGGAATAGGGCAGGAGTGTTTTGAGCAGAAGGCACAGCAGGGTGAACACAAGAGTACGAGGCATCCTGACATCCATGGGCAGCAGCGAGGGACTCAGGGGACTGGGGTATGGAGTAGTGTTTTCCAAGTTGCAGGTTGTGGGTCATGAAATCAAAGCATTATTTAAGTGAAATATTCTAGAATAAACAATAGAGTAGAATAGAATAGAGTTCACTACACATGGTCAGATTAAGTGTTGTTTCATGAAATTTTCCTTTCTCTGCGTGTGTGTGTCCTGGATCTCCATGATGTGCTGCTGGATGTAGAGGGTGTAGGTCACCCTTTAAAAGTTTGAAGGGCACTGTTTGGAGGTACAGGGTGCAGCAGGGGCTATCCAGTCATCAACCCCACTGCTGCCTTCCCAGGAACAGAGCACAGTGCTGGGAGCAGCTCTCAGGATGAAGGTGACAGCAGCCTTTCTCACACAGGGAGAGGGTCACCACAAAAGGCCTGCAGAGCTGTGGCTGGTGGTGTGGCTCTATCCCTCTGTCCCACTGTCTGTGAGTGGGACCTCCACTGAGCTGCCCAAGCGTGGACCACACCAAGGTCCAGGGAAGCAGCAGGAAGGGGCAAGAAAAAATAGAAAAAGTTCAGTTTCAATGAATTTATTCAGAATTTTGCAAATGGGAAAAGTGAAATGTTATGGTTCACAATGTATTTCAGTATATAAATTACACATGGTAATGGAGAAGGAGGTTACCATACACTTCTCAGTGTTGATGGCTTTTGAAAGGTTTTAATCCAGCCCTGATGGTGACAACACAAATGGTTCTGAGTAAAACTCTCCTTGCCCCAAATGTCATCCTCCCTGTCCCCTTTCAAAGTAATCTGACCAGTCCTTGCTGCAGGCCCACCTTGGACCTGCACCTGCAGAAAGTGCCATGTGGGGCATCAGGATCAGAGCCACCCAGCCAGCCTGGTCTATGGAAAGGGGCCATGGAGAATGGTGAGATCACGTACGGTCTCCCAACAGCTGCAATGTGCAAAGGAATGTGCGCCTGGGAGAGCCCTTGCCGGGGTCAACCCTGGTCCGGCAGGGAAGCCGCTCCAGTGGTGGGAAGTCCACCAAGGTGAGGGATCCTGGTTCCAGAGCCTTCTTCTTCATGAACTCATCAACCTTCTAGGAGCTCTGTATTCTTCATCTAAGTACAATAACAACAACTGTTTTTGTGTCTTTGAAACCAGACTGTTATGAGCAAAAAGGCACAAATTATGAGAAGAGACCTAAGCCCGCCCGAAGACAGGGCATATATACACAACTACAGATGACAGATGAGGCACACACTTTTATTTCTTATCCCACGGCATGGTGCTTATTCGAACACTTACAAAATGCCAACTTCGGCCCTGGCAACAGACAATGGCACCCGGATCTACCCAGCACTGTGGTGTCTTACAGGTATCGTATCTCTAACGCACACTACTTATGCATGCAATCATACTCAGTAAATATTTCTTGACTCAAGAGACTAAGAAATACTAACAAAAGAAGAGTGAAACATTTATGAAGATACGGAAAAAAAGTTGGAAAAAATAAGTGGCCTGAAAGAAATGGAAATGAGATTGCTCTGAAGGGGTGCTTTTATCCACCCCGCTAACTGCTGCTAATCAGGAAAGCAAGATCTGATAACTTTCTGGAAAACAGTCATGCAGGTCCCCTCCAGAAAATTGCAGAGCTTCATAAACGTCTTAATTATTTTGATCCATGTATACGACCAGACATTTCAAGTAAAATCATTTTTCTTTGGAGACTGAATTAACCTAACTGTGGATGTCGTGGAAATGAGCAAGCTAAATCCCCACTTAATGTTTACTGTCAGACACATAGAGCTTTTCCTCTTCTCTTGTACTGGTCAGTGGAGATGCAATAAGCCATCGTTTCAGAGGAGTCATTATAACGACAGAATTCCTTTCTCTAAGCAAAAAATGGAAAATAAGTAAGAATGGCAAAATGTATTACAAAATAAGAAACATTTTAATTTGATACAATCAACTGTGTTCTTATAAGACATCTTCACAGTCTTCCTGGCCCAGAAGGAAGAGTACTTATTCAAGCTGTTTCTGGAGCATCAGTAATTACTCCCATTATTCTATCTTGGTGGGGGCAGGGGAACACTGATGTACTTTAAAATCTTCTTTGGAGGAGACAGGACTATCCCACACTGAGAAGGAAATTGAGTTAGATGTCAGATTCAGCCTGGCCTCCAGCCTCTGCTTCCCTTTCCTCCCCGCAAATGAAGGATGGCTCAGCAGGCCCTCAATTTAGCCCCAGAGGGGACAGAGCAGCAACAGCCCCACCTGGCATTAGAGACTCTTCCCCCTGCTGGCAGGCTGCCCCTCCATCCTGACATGATGCCAGTGGAAGTAACCACATCCCTGCCCTGACCCTGCCAGGTTCCCTCCAGGACTGCAGCCTGGCCTGGCACTTTTGGGCCCATCCAGCCTGCTGGGCAAAAGCTTCTAGCAGTACCTCAGTCTTGGGCCAGGGACCCTGCTCTCTAGGAACACACGTCCCTGTTTCCATACTCTACTGAATCCAGTCACTGTCCACTCTGTCTCCTCTGCCCCAATCTCTGCCTACCTGGGGCCATCTGGGGAGCCGGGGGGGGCTGGGGAGCTGGGGAGCTGGGGAGCTGGGGGGCTGGGGAGCTGGGGAGCTGGGGGGCTGAGGGGCTCGGGAGCTGAGGAGCTGGGAAGCTAACCCCATGCTGCCTTCCAGGCTGGATTCTCTCTCTCTCCCCTGGCAGTTGGGTTTGTCTCCCCAAAGCCTCTGTCTTTGTGCTGGGTGGCGGACCCATCTGCAAGAGGCAAGTGTCATTAACCGTGATGGACACGGTGGTCAGCCAGACAAATAATCCCCTCCCACCTCCTACTGTCTCGGGACAGCCCCCTTCAGAGCGCTGCAGAAAAGTCTTCAGAAGTTCAAGTCCAGCTTCATACAGGGAACAATAAGAATCCGGATGTGGAAGGGAGAATAACGTTCCCCCAAAAACATCCACATCCTAATCCCCAGAACCTGTGAACACGTTACCTTATAGTGCCAAAGGGACTCTGCAGCTGTGATACATTAAGGGCCTTGAGCTGAAACTCCTGGGTCATCCAGGTGGGCCCAGGGAATCCCATGGGTTCTTAAAAGCAGAAAGCCCTTCCTGGCTGCGGGCAGAGGGAGGTGTGATGATGGAAGGAAGACACGGAGCCTCGCTGGCTTTGAGGATGGAGGGAGGGGACTGCAAGATAGCTCCAGAAGCCGAAAAAGGCAAGGAAAGAGAATTTCCCCTACAGCTGCCAGAAGGAACACAGCCCTGCTGACACCCTGATTGTAGCCCAGGGAGAGCAGGATTAGACTAGACTTCTGATGTACAGACTGTAAGATAATCAATCTGTGTTGTTTCAAGTCACTCCGTTTGTAACAATTCATTACAGCAGCAAAAGAAAACTAAATCTGAGGGAAGAGAGAATGGGAAGTAAGGAGAACAACTCTCCATTTATTTCCATACTTAAGTCTCCCCCTTTACGCTTGACTGGGGCTCCCATTCAGGGAAGCTTGAGATCTGTCTTGACAATACCAGCTATGGTCCACAAACCCATACAACCTTCCAAAATCAACAATTTCACATAAGAGTCAAGAATAATCTTTATCTCAGGTTCAAGGTGATGACATTGTCCTGATAGATCATTCTTGTCTCACCATCCGAAGCCAAGAGGCAGAGAACTTAGATAGAAATAAGTGGAACTCTACTTCATTGCCACTTCAACTTCTAAATTAAAAAATAGAATGTTAGTAGTTTCCCAGCTCAATAAAGGCATACAGTTTAAAAGCAATACTTCCTATCTTTATTTTTTTCTAGCCAAAGAAGAAATACAGTTTCTATATAAAACACTGTTAATCCTAAGTAATAATGTTATGATGGGAAGAGTAGGCTTCTCCAACATTTAGTATCTATCTACTTTTAAGAAGACAAGAGCATACCTCTTGAAATATCTGTGCAAAATTTGCTTATAGCTAATGGAATAAGAACACAAACACAAACTCAGTGTGTTTCCCAAATAGAGCCATAATCACCATTTGACTGTGTGTGTTAGGACCACGCTGAAATTTAACTTGCATAGGTTTCAATCTTAAAGAGAGGCAGGAAAATCTGCATCAAGTTTGTAAGTGTGAGATAATTTAAGTCAAGAATTCTTCTTCCTGCTTAAAAAGACAAATAGACCATATATAGCTGCAGAATTTAACTTGACTTTGGCTTTTATGTTCAAAAATGCCCTTATCTGCCATCAAGAATGTGTGTATGGGAAACTCATGGCATTAAAAGACCCCAAAATAGGAGCATTCAAGATGATAAATTGCTTTGATTATATAAATCTGAGGCTCACTGGAAAGATCAGCTTGCTAGGAGTCATTACTTGCCTAGCTGTCCCCTTGTGGGACAGCAAGTCTCTGCAGACCATGAGGCCACCATAGGCTATTTCTGGAAAGGCCTCGGTATGTCAACAGCACGGTCGGCAGGTGAAGCAGGCCCCTGGTCTTCTCACTAACCCAGGGAGGGGTGAACATCCTGGTACATGACAGTGTCAAAAAGGTGTCCCTATGAGAGTTGTGTTTCTATATCTAGAGGGAGACAGGGAGGTCTACTCTAATGGTATGTTAGCTCCAGCTATGAAGGGACAAGCAGGTAAAGGCAAAAGCAGACCTAAATCAACTGGACTGCTATACACTGAGATCTTAGGGAACAGAGACTCTCATCTGTTGCTCTTAATAAATTATGAGAAAAATAGAAAGGCCTCAAGTACCGATTTTATACAGCTTTGCACGGATTTAGTTTCCCAATAGGCATATGAGTCTATCACTATATGTAACAGACACAGTACAGTAAGAAACTTGGGATTTTTTTTTTTTTTTTTGAGATGGAGTCTTGCTCTGTCACCAGGCTGGAGTGCAGTGGCATAATCTCAGCTCACTGAAACCTCCGCCTCCCAGGTTCAAGTGATTCCCCTGCCTCAGCCTTCCGAGTATCTGGGACTACAGGCGTGTGCCACCACGTCCGGCTAATTTTTTGTATTTTAGTAGAGACAGGGTTTCACCATGTTGGCCAGGATGGTCTCGATCTTCTGACCTCCTGATCCGCCGGCCTTGGCCTCCCAAAGTGCTAGGATTACAGCCATGAGCCACCGCGCCCGGCGGAACTTGGGATTTTTAAGGCTAGAGTGAAGGAACAATAGAGACGGAAAGGCTAGGTGTGGTGGCTCACACCTGTAATCTCAGCACTTTGGGAGGCCGAAGTGGAAGGATCACTTGAGCTCAGGAATTCGAGACCAGCCTGGGCAACATAGTGAGACCCCATCTCTACTAAAAAAAAAAAAAAAAAATTAGCTAGGTGTGGTGGTGTGTGCCTGCAGTTCCAGCTACTCCAGAGGCTGAGGTGGGAGGATTGCTTGAGCCCAGCAGGTCACGGCTGTGGTAAGCTATGATCATGCCACTACATTCTAGCCTGGGTGACAGAGCAAGACCTTATCTTAAAAAAATAAATAAAAATAAAAATAGAGACAAGGAGTGAGGAAGAAAGCTGGCAACACCATCCAGGTGTGGGCTGGTGAGGGTCTAAACTGTCAGTACTCACTACTTTCCCACCAGGGCACACGAGATGAAGGGCCGCTTCTGCCAAGCAAGTGCTGGGATTAGGCAAAATTATGGGTGCACGAACTGGCTGCAACCCCTGTCTCTCCTGCTCAAAGAAGCATTCTGGAATGGAAGGGAGTGGGAAGAGCTGACTCTGAATTTACCATCATTTTTTTAAAATTCTCAAACTTCAGCCCTGTAACTTTAGTGTTGTTGGTCACACATGAATCGCTGCATGCCCCAAACCAGTCCCAACACTTCATTTGAGACGTTCTGGCAGTTAAGTTTTCCAGTTACTGTGGCTGTATAATAAAGTGCCCCAAGATATAGTGGGTTAAGACGACGATGATGTTATTTTGGCCATCACTCTACAATTTAGGCAGAGCGCCGCAGGAACTGCTCATATCTGCTCCATTTGGCTTTCACTGGGATGGCTCAAAAAAGTGGGAGTGTGGGGTGGGGTCATGGAGGTGGGGGAGTCAAAGCACGTGAAGGTTCATTTACTCAGCTGGGGTTCCACTGTCACCTCTATTGCTATGTGGTCTAAACCCCTCTACATGGCCTCTGTATTATGGGGTGTCCAGGGAGCTAGACTTCTTGTACGGCAGCTCAGGGCTCCAAAGGTGCACGTCCCAAGTGAGAGAGAGAGAGAGAAGCAGGTGGAAACCTTGCCATGTTTTCTAACCTCACCTTGGAAATCACACAGCATCATTTCTGACACATTCTGTCCTTCATATGTGGGCTGGCCCATATTCCAGAGGAGAGGAATCAGACTCCACCTTTTCATGGGAAAAGTGTCAAAGAATCCGTGAAATGACTGTGAACCAGAACCTTCAGTACAGACACAGAGAGGAAGAATGCAGTCTAAGAGACAAGGAAGGAAAGGAGGCGTACAGCCTGATGGCGGTGGGTAGGCGGGAAGGGTGGAAGTGAGAATGTTCCCAGGCCACAGTTCTGCAACCCAGGAAATGTTCTTTCCTGAGAGTGGTGGGGCCCTGAGACTGTCTATTGAGAAGAAACTGCAGGCCATTCAGCTTTCAATGACTTGCTTTCTGGGAGTCAGAGGACACCTCGGCAGAGATCTCTACAGGCAAGAGGAAATGCCAGGTCAGGGGGCAGGTGCTCTAAGCAGGGGACAGAGACACAGAGATGAAGGTCACATTTGCAAAGGCCAGAGCAACCACCATGACCGTGCAATCTTGCTTAGGAAAGTTAAGACAGGCAGGAGAGAGAGGAACAAAGTTACTTAAAGGCAAGAAAGAAAGAAGAGATACAAGATGCAGGAGAATAGGAAATAATTAAAGGTAAGTGGGAGAGGAACATCCTAGAAGTTAAAGGAAGAAAAAGTTTCAAAACAAGAAAAAGTAGACACAGTATCTTATACCACCAGAGATGGTGCACTTAGGAGAGATCTTATGAGAGAAAGGGAAAAGTGAAGACTGAGAAAAATACCAGATTATGTCAAGGAAGTTGCCAGGAACACACATTTTAGAGACTTATTTCTATGATCAGTACAAGAAGGGCAATCATTTCTCAGCAAGTAGAAGTAACATCTCCAATAGACGCTGGTATTTAGTGTTAAAATAAGCTGTTGCCTTGTATTCATGAGCCACGCCTGAAAACCACCAAAAGATAGCAGACTTATTGAGCTCAAATTCCTTCCCAAGTGGGTTAGATCGCCATTCCTCCGCTGATAAGATTATCTCAGGGCAAGTCACAGGCAGGGCCGTTGGCTACACCCTCCTCTATCAGCTGCCTTGCTGGGCCCCACCTCATTCCCATGGCTCTCAACAGCATGGAAGTCAGCAGTTTTTAAAATCTAGTTTGAAGATGTACAGAAATGATTATACTGCTGTTTTTAAATAGTGTGCTAAAGTGTGCTTAAGTTGTTCTAAAATAGGCTGGGTGCGGTGGCTCACGCCTGTAATTCCAGCACTTTGAGAGGCCGAGGCAGGCGAATCACCTGAGGGTGGGAGTTCAAGACCAGCCTGACCAACATGGAGAAACCCTGTCTCTACTAAAAATACAAAATTAGCTGGGTGTGATGGTGCACGCCTATAATCCCAGCTACTCGAGAGGCTGAGGCAGGACAATTGCTTGAACACGGGAGGCAGAGGTTGTGGTGAGCCGAGATGGCGCCATTGCACTCCAGCCTGGGCAACAACAGCCTGGGCAACTCCATCTCAAAAAAAATAATTAAAAAAAATTGTTATAAAATAAAAAAAGTGCCATTGCAGTTGAAAGCAAGTCTACCTCCAAAGTCTCTAGAGGGAGACAGGGAGGTCTACTGTAATGGTATGTTAGCTCCAGCTATGAAGTGACAAGGAGGTAAAGGCAAAAACAGACCTAAATTAAAGATCAGCTAACTTCTACAGATAGAAGGATTGGAGTCAAGGGGGATGAACACACACACACACACACACACACACACATCTTTCTCTTAATTATGGATCCAGTCATGGCAGAGGAAACAATTTTTTCTCTCAGGTAAGCACCGAAGACTAGAAAGTCTACAAGAGCAGAGGCCTGGCTGGTTCAATCAGAAACCCTTGCTATCAAGGCTTCCAAAGAAAGCTGGCCACATGACACAGAGAGGAAGAATACGGTCTAAGAGACAACCCCCCAACACACGGGGGGCTGTATACACATTAGGTATGAGATCAGAGAAGAGCTTCAAAGCACAAAGTATTACAAAGGATAAAGAAAAAGAAAAAAAATTAACTTTCTTTTAAAATCAAGAAAAATCAGCATCAAATTAAGCTAGGAGATGAAGATCTATGATAAAGTACCTCACTCATCATAAGGATATATGTTTCTATAAACCATGCTCTTAATTGTATATAACTTCAATGATTAGTTGATAGCTAGGATTTATCATTGTAATAAATATTTTAATATCACATAAAAGCCAATGAATCCCATGCTAAATTCTCTCTCACTTATCCAGACCTAAGCATTTGGGTCTAGATGTCATAGTCATTGGCAGGACAGATTTAAGAGGATCAAAATCTGTAAAATGGAAGTCTTGCAGATTCCGCATTACATACAAAATGACAGCAAATGCCAAGAATCAGTAAGAAGTCAAAGAAAGAAAGATTAAAAAGAGACGAATAAACTGGGCATATTTACACAAATCAAATCCTACAGCAGTAAAAATGAATTACATATATATGCAAAAACATAAATGAATCCGAGAAATACAGTATTAAGTTTTTAACAATCACAAGTTGAAAGTTGTGAGAGCAATCACTCCCACTCTAACAATGAGAACAAGCCAGATTAGCTACAAAAGCATAGTCTGAAAAAAATCTGTCAGGGAGCTGAGAATGCAAAGAAGCCTAAATGTATCAAGTCCTTCCCAAGAGAAAAAAGGCCAATAGCCGCTTCCTTCCCTAGCAAAGCAGCAGGAAGAACAGGAATCCACCATAAACAGGAGTGAGGAGAAATCAAATAAATTTTTAACCCACATTAATGGCCATATGTGGACTGCCATATGAATTATGATTCCAAGGAGGCCTAGCCACCAGCCAACTCTTTCTTTACCAAATGAACTTTACCAAAAACACAACAAAACTACACCAAAGGCTGGGGGTAGGGCAGGAGACTAGAGAGACATCTTCTCTGAAGCCTACAGGACTTAGCTTCAGGGTATGGTATAAAAGGGTCAGAATCTAAAAACTGAGAAAGTCATTCTGAGGTACTCCAGGCCTTCACTCGGACCACTGCAGTAGCCCTCCAAAAGCTGGGGCACAGCAGCTGTACAGGGAAGATTTCTTGAGGTACAGAAACTTGGTGCAAGACTGACACAAAGACAACTCCCCAGTGACCCAAAAAGCCGGCAGTCAGGCTGAAAAACAGAAATCTTCCACTGTTTGGTAAGCTGGTCCTGGACTGTGAAGCATTTAAAAACCTCCAGAGTTTTTCCAGGGCTCAGATTTCAAGCCCTGCTAAGGGGGAAGTCCTGATTGTGCCTTCAAAACATTTGAAGCCAGTGATAAAAATGAATCTAACTGAAGCTTCCCCAAGGCCCAAACCTGTTTCCATTACAAACTAGATTGACTCACACACACTAGTGGCCTGAAAAAAGAATTTAAATTACTATAGACTTTATAATTCTCTTACATACAATGTCTGGCATGCAATAAAAAAAATTACAAGGCATGAAGGAAGAAAGAAAATATAACCCATAATCAAGAGAAGAAACAGTCCAAAGAAACAGATTCAGAGATGATGTAGATGTTGGAATTATTAAAGGATGATTAATAAACATGTGAAAGGATCTAGCAGAAAATATTAACACAACCATGAACAGATGGAGGATTTCAGCAAAATAAAGCAGACTCCTTAAAAACTATTTTTTAAGTGTAGAAATGTTCAAAATAAAAAAAAGATATCAAAAATTAGATATCAAAATTGGCTTAACATAGAAATATTAACTTGAAGACAACCCGACAGGAATTATCCAAACTAAAACACAAAGAGGAAAAGAAAAGAATTGACAAAAACATGGAATAAAGTATCTAAAAAGTATGGGACTATATAAAATGATGTCATATATAATTAACTGGAGTTCCAGGAAAGAAAAGAGGTACTGAAGAAATATTTGAAAAAAGAATGAAAAAATTTCCAAAACTGATGAAAGATATCAATCCACAGATCCAAGAAGCTCGGCAAACCCCAAGCGGGATAAATGTAAAGAAAACCATACATAGGCATGTTATCATATTCCAACTACTGACAACAAAAGATAAAGAGAAAATCAGCTGGAGAAATATCGCATATGACATATGGGGGGAAATGCTAAAAAAAATAACAACTAAGGTCTCATCAGAAACAACAGATCAGAAGACCATGGGCTAATATCATCAAAGGTCTGATAGGAAAAAGACTATCAACCTAGAATTCTACATCTAGTAAAAATATGCTCTTAAAATGAAGACAAAAATGAACTTTTTCAGAAAAAGCAAAAACCAAGATAATTTGTCACCAGCAGACTTGCATATAAGAAATGCTGATAATAATTTAAGCCAACGGAAAATGATATAATTAGAAGAAATGAAGAGTACCAGAAACGGTAAATACATGAAGATAAATATAAAAGTCCATTTAAAATTATCTCTATTTAATATATGTACATACATATATATGTTTTATATCTTATACGTGTGTATATGTGTTTTAAAATATGTTTATTTTACATAAATTTATTTTTCTTTTAAAAGCTATTGATTGTTTAAAAATAATAACATTACTGGCTTTATAGCATATATGGATGTAAAATATATGACAGTGGGTACAAAGGGTGGAAGGAGTAAGAGGAATTATGTTTTCTATTTCTTGCATTATTTGTGAAGAATAATACTATTATTTGGAGATAGACTGTAATTGGTTAAAAATGCACATTGTAATCTCTTAAGCAATTAATAAAAATAGCACAAAGAAACATAGCCTAAGACTTTGTTAAAGATAAAAGGAAATACTAAAAATATGCAATTCATCTAAAAGAAGCCAAAAGGTGGAAAAGAGAAACAAAATACACATTAGTTAAATAGAAAACAAATACCATGATGATACACCCAACAATATTGGGACAAATGGCAAAATCTGAATACGGACTGTTGCATCCATGTTAGATTTCCTAAAACTGATGCCATTACTGTATTTATATGAGAACATCCTTTTTCTTAAAAAATTACATGCAGAAGTATTTGGATGTAAAGGAACATAATATCTGCAACTTACTCTTCAATGGTCTGAGGGGGAAACTATTAATCGCAAGATTGAGGAAGAGAGAGAAAAAGACAGAAATAATTGCAGAAATATGTTAACAATTGATGAATCTGAATGGAGAGTATACAGAGTTCTTTAGTCTTGCAACCTTTCTGGAAGTTTGAAATCATTTCAAAATAAAAGTTAGGCCATCTGCAGAATTACATGGATTCATGAATAGACTGCTTTAAGTACTATGCTATGATGCTATCTTATGTTAAATCCATATTAAATCAATGTTAGCATTTTTTAAAAGACTACATATGGCATGATACATGATACCATATTTGTAAAGAAAAATAAACCAAACTAAACAACGTATTGTTTGGGAATACACACACTCAAAATCCCTGAGAGAAGACAAAGCAAGGTGCTGATAATTACCAAGCTCAGACTGTGACGACCTCAGGGATGGGCAGGAAGATGAGACTGGGCCAAGAGAGAGGACCGAATAGACTCAAAGCATTGATGTGATGTGCTTCTTGGGTTGGGTGGTAGTTTCATGGGTGCTTTTTATAGTATTTTACTTCAAAACTTGCAAATGTTACATATCATCTTCTGTATTAATCTCACATTACATTTTTTAAAAGATGGAAATTGGGGAGGTAGAAGATCATCCAGTTTATAAAAATAAGTTTGAAATGGGACTAACCTTCATATTTAGTGATGAACTGAACAAAAGCATTAGGTTAGTCCCCAACCCTTATCTGAATGAACTGACATTTTATTAGATCCAAATTCCTGGATGTAACTAATTAAGTATCTATTGATCACCACTGTTTTTCACTTTCCTAACAACCTCACCTATAAAATAACAAATGCACTTCCTTGCAACTCTTAATTTAAATTTTCTTGCTAAGACATAATAACTCTGCCATGAATAAATTATGTGCAACACTGTACTGAAAAAGAAAAAAAAATCTCCAGGATATGCAGATATGGCCCATTAAATAATTAACCATCACTATCTTATTATAGGAACCTAGAGGAGTCCTTTCTGCACAATTTAGTATCACTTCCTACTAGCTAAAAGGGAACACAATAAAACATGTGTAGTCAATAGTATCCTTCAGAGTTTTATTAGAAAAATTCAAGTGTCCAAAGTGAAAAGTCTATAAAATGAGAAATTATTCTAGGTGCCAGTGGTTGTTAGGTAACATTCAAATATATCCCAGAGTGCTTTATTTGCTTAAAGCATTTAGTTCAAAAATAAATACTAGAAAGAAGTCTTGGTTAGCCAAGAGAACATCCGAATGTTATCACTAGTTTTCTAAATAATTAAGAAAAGCTTTTTCTTCTGCTTTAATTAACACACTTGAATTCAGAAGAATTACATCAAATAATCAAAGTTTCTGAGGCAAATGTGTTCTACAAGACATTATTAATCATAAATTTTTATTAATGTACAGAGGTTTACAAAATGCAAAAACTAAAGCACAAGAAAGGTATTTTCCAAAGTGTTTCAAAATTACCATTACTTCATTAAACAGCAGATATTTACTGGGAGCTTGCTATTATAGACCAGGTACTATTCTAAGCCCTGGGGATACAGCAGTGAACAAGGCGAGTCCCCATCCTCAAGGAACTGACATGTGTTGATCATGTACACAAATGAATGGGTTAGTGCTTTCATGTCAATGGATCATAAGGTTTTCAAGTCACCTAAAGTTCTTGTGGAACCACAGTGGGTTATAAACATCCTTGGCTCCATGTACTATGTTCCTAGGCACTGTCCTCTGGTAAGGTCCTGAGGGTCACGTATTGTCTGTATCAACCCCATGGTGTTCTATGAGGCACAGCACTTAGAAAAAAACCGATGAGACCCTATGCAGATATTTTCTGAGATGGTGGAGAGGTTGATGCAGTTCTGCATGGCCAGGGGGTGGTAAGAAAATATGGGGTTATTATATATTATAAAGGCAGCACCCTCTACTAGAAAATAAGTTACCCATCTATAACAGAGACGTCGTTCTTGGAAATGACACTTTTATTTGCAGGGGATAGCCCCAAGTTCCATCTTCAAGGCAAACATGATCCCAGTTCTACTGACTTCCAATTATTCACTGTTTTTTTTTTTCAGAGGAATTAGCTAAATGTAAAAAGAAGAAGGGAAGGAAGGAGGGAGGAAAAGAGAGAAAGAAAGATTTTTTAAAAACCCTTCAATGGACTTATAGTGATGAGAAATTTGAGAATGTCCCCACGTTTTCAAGTGTCTGAGCCCCAGGAACACCTCCAAACTTGTCTGTGGTGGCAGTGTAGAATGCGGAGACCCAGTCAAGCCCCAGATCTAAGCAGACATTCCTCACCTCATATGATGCTGCTGAAAACACAAACCTCACCCAGCCTCTCAGTTTGTTTCCTTCATTCTGCCCCAGTGAGCAAGACTATGAAAGTTTAATATTTCAGGACCAAAGATTTTTTATTTTAAAAATTACAACTGTAAACAAAAGCAGGCTGTATGTGTGCATATGTCAGGGAGAAGAAGAAATTGTTAATGTTCACTGATCTTTTCAAATTCTACTTCTGGGAATGTGAGAATGACGACATCGCATAGACAGCCTTGATGAGACTCTTAATAGCTGCAAAGAGGGTGAGCTGTCTGGATAGCACTGCAGTCGGCTCCCCACCTCCCCTAAACACAGCTATGAAATGCTGTCACTTTTCATCAGTACTCCACACAGTGCATAAAGATGCCAACAGATAAGCAGTCCCTCCTTGCTTGAGAAAGAGTACAGGATTGCATCTGGTTGCTTCTAGTAGCTTTCTGTACTGTCTTCACTGTTCTGGGATGGTGGCTTCAAAAACAAAAATGAAATCCAGTCTGGATAAGGACAGGTCCCCAGACATCCCTGAAGGACTCCCATTCTGAATGGGTAACAGCAAAGCCACAGCTTCACAGAGGTTCCCTGGACTCACACAAAGGTGCTTATTTTATTTGTATATTTTTAAATTTTTATTTAAAAACTTAGAGATGGGGTCTCACTATGTTGCCCAGGCTGGTCTCGAACTCTTGGGCTCAAGTGATCCTCCTGCCTCGGCCTCCCAAAGTGCTAGGATTAAAGGCGTGAACCACTGTGCCCGGCCAGGTTTTTACTTTAATAGCGGACTGCACAGTCGTGAGCTTTTTCACAGTCACAGTTGCTTCTTAACCTACATGTTCCCTTCCTCAAAATGCTCTCAGAAAAGGGTGACCAGAGTCCTTGGGGGCCTACTTCTAAGATTTACTCTAACAATATGAACCATTTATTGAGCCCTTGCTATGTGCCAAACACTGGTACACAGTATACCGTATACTGTACTGTATATACTATACTGTATACTGTGCAAAGTATACATTTTCTATTTAATCTTCCCATCATTTAAAGGTAGATTATTATTAATCTCAGTTTACAGATTGGGAAACTAAGGCTTAAAAAAGACCAATCATTTGCCCAGGGTTATAGTGCTAGTAATAATCTTAGGGTCTGTCCTTCCAAAATCCATGCCTTTAACCAGTACCCTAGACTTGAACGAGGAGCAGCACAATTAGTCAGAAAGAGCACTGGCTTTGCAGCCAGAAGCCTTCCCACTAATTAGCTGTGCAACCCTAGGTGACTAACCTCACCAAGCCTCTGTCACTTCGTCTTTGATGTGGGAATAATCATTTCTACCCTGCCTTTCTCCAGGGGCTAAAGACTGTATCAACACCTGTTGCTGAGTTCTAGTAAGTTCATTTCTCTTGGACAAACTTTCTTGTCCATCTGTTCAAGGTCAGGAATGAGAGCTGGGATGAGAGAAGAATTGCAGACAGGGGAGGGCTAAAACTAAATGACTAAGTTATTCACTCTTTTTGTCACACATTTTATTTGCTTTTGTGTAACTGGGGAAACGCAATTCTAATGTTTGACAATGAAGTTTACTAATATTAAAAGCTATCTAGACATGATAGCCAGGTGCGGTGGCTCATGCCTATAATCTCAGCACTTTGGGAGGCCAAAGCAGGAGATCGCTTGAGCCCAGGATCATAGTGAGCAACATAGTGAGACCCCTATGTCTCTACAAAAAATACAAAACTTGGCTGGGTGTGGTGGTGCATGCCTACAGTTCCAGTTACTAAGGAGACTGAGAAGGGAGGATTGCTTGAGCCTCGGCGGTCAAGGCTACAGTGAGCCATGATTGTGCCACTGCACTCCAGCCTGGACAACACAGTGAGACTCTGTCTCCAATAAAAAGCTATCTAGACATGATGGCCAGGTGCAGTGGCTCACACCTATAATCCCAGCACTTTGGGAGGCCAAGGCGGGAGGATCACTTGAGGCCAGAAGTTCAAGACCAGCCTGGGGAACATAGGCAGACTCCATCTCTATAAAAAATTAAAAATAAATTTTTAAAAAAGCTATCTAGACATGAAATTAAACAATCAAAATAGAGGACCACATAACTAGAGGAAGGCAGGAGAAAGGCAGGCCAGGGGCAGGCAGTACTGGCATTTCCTCTGGATCTCGCTTAGGGATTGGCCTGTTGGTATTTTCTTCCTCTGTATGGGGTTAACTTGTTCTTTGGTCTCTAGCAAATTAATTTGGTCAAATTGGTTATTTAATTTATGAATAAAGAATTTGAAAGCAATACAGTGACAAATATTCTCAGCTAAACCATAATATTCTGTAGCTCGAATAGCCTCTGATTTTTCCAAACAGAGGCATCATACTAGGATGGGCCTCTTGTTTTCTTGAAATGTCAAATTGCCTAGTTGAAGCAACAACCATGGAGAGCAAACACACACACATATACACACATACGCTCCCACAGAGCTGATATAAAAAAGATGCTGCAAATAGCAGCTAATAAAATCCCGGCGCACACATTTATTCCTACAGTCATCAGTTAACATAACACTGACACAGAGAAAGATCCTTAACAACCTGCTAGTGAGGACTTTTGGGAACTCTTGAAAAAACACACGCAGAGATCAAGAAACGAAAATGAATTTATGATGGTTTGGTTAGAAGCTATGTTTGAATGAAGAAAATAAAAGATGTTAAGTAATAACTGGGGGGATCCCTAAGCATACAGTGGGGACTTGGGTATATACAGAAAATGAAATATTCATCATCCTCCATGGAGCACACTTGTGGCTGAAGCTCTGCAACAGAATCACAAAATTAACCCATTTTCTCCACAGTTAAAATCGCTAAAAAGAGCAAAAGTGCCAATTTGGATCTGTTCAAGATTTTTTTTAAAAAACTGTAGGAACACAGTTAATACTCTGCAACTAGAGGACCACCTGTAACTAAATTCACCATTAGAGAGATGGCATTTCTGTTAAACCACATGGCATCACGCTTCCAGTGCCAGTGTTCATCCTAACAGATAACGTAAACTCATGGGGAACCTCTATGCCCCTTCTTCCAGTTTCCAAGGTCTGTAAGGACAAGAGGCTGCTCTCAATGGGGGCCCATGGGAGCAACAGCAGCATGAGTAGAGTGTGTCTCCCTGCCACTCTGAATGCCTGTTCACACCCTTCCCCTCCCGTCCACAGGTCTCCCCACTGACTCTACCTACTAGTGTCAAACAGACACAGAACCTAAACATCAAGGGGGACCCGGGAACTGCACATACCATCGGAAATGGGGAAGAGGAGTTGTGTGTGAGAAGGACTGGGGAAGGGGAATTCGCTTAAATCAGAGATCCTTCTCATCGCCTGGTCTAACTCAGTCCTCTTAAAACTGCTAATCAGCGCACAGTGTCCAGATACAAAACGTTTCTCCTGAGAGTCAGAGGGCTTTGAGCGACAAGTATTACGTTGTCAAGAGATCATTCATTTCCAATTGAGACAGCATTTGGAAGAGCAAAAGCCAGGCACAAAATTAGAGCCTATTAATCCTAATCAGAAACAAAAGTAAATAAATTCAAAAGGTTTTAATTGAGCCTACCCAACAGGAGGAGGCGGAGACTGAAGGAGTATCAAGCCCAATAATAACCAGGATTTGGGAAGCCCAAAGAAGAGCTCCCTATAAATATATTGCTTTCTTTAAATTCTGAGGGGAAAAAAGTAACTCCACCTTTCATTGAACATAGGATACCAGAAATTACATAAGGAGTTGCATTCCAAATGTTGGATGCAAAAAAAGCAACCAAAATTGATTGGAATGTGGTTTAACTGCTTTATCTAATCACTGCTAATAAATAAGAAGACCTTTCATTAGTTGGCAGGAGGACAGTTGCTACTGGCCAATTTGATTTTCCTGAAAACGGTGAAGACTTGCATGCGCTTTTTATCCCCCCAGATATAATCCCTGAAGTCCAGACTGTTTCTGGAATCGGAAGTTGTCACGTAGTGTCATCCTCTTCCTTAACAGACCTAAGGTCTCCTTTCACATGTTCCCAAATTGTTTGTTTTGGACACCTTTTATTGCAACCTTTTTGAAAGTGAAGAGTTTAGAAACCTCATGGCAAATAAGAAATTGTTAATCCAGAGTGAGCATGTAGGAGGCTGGAGAATGCAATGATCTATCCAGGGCACACTAGGCAGCCGACACTTTGAAACCTGAAATAGCCAAGATTCCTCAATTATTCGTCGAAGTTACATGGGAGATTCAGTCAACTGAGCTTAAGAAGATGCCCTATATGTTGTCAGCAAGGGGGAAAAAGTCAGTTCCATGTATCCCTGACTTAGGAATCTATCGCACCCCACCTTCCCACGGCAGGCTACATCTGGGCTGATTTGCTGGGTCCCCAAACTCGGTAGAGAGCGCCCCAAGGATCAGGGACCGGCGGCCCCACCTGCTGGGTCCCATCCGCCACCTGGATTGGCAAGGCCTGGCCCCCCTTGCAAGTGGACCCCTTCCCTCCCTGCTCCCAGAAGCCCAGCCCAGAACGGCGTTCTTTCCGGGGGCCCAAAAGCAATCAGACCTTTAAAAGAAAAAAGAGGGAGCGCAGACTGGCATTATATAACAATTTACAGTAGATAAGACTTCTAGAAAACGAAAGCAGCCCGAGGAGGGGCGGGGGACAGGGGAGACCAGGGGAGTGCGGCGTCGGGGGAGCGGTCGCCACCACTTACTCGAAGGCGAAGAAGAGTCCGCTAGTGACCAGGATGAGGACGAGCGTCAGGTAGAAGACGCCCGTCTGCCGGGCCATCATGATCCTCCCGTTACAGAAGAACTTGTTTCTTCCCGGGAACACCTCCCATTTCCTCCGGGCCGCGATTTTCTTCTTCTTGTGGGGCGACTCCATGGGGGAGGAGCTGTGGGTGCTGATCTGGCTGTACTCGCAGTCTTTCATGGGCCCGCCGCCGCCGGGAGGCATCCACGAGGGCAGCCGGCTGGGGGCGCACACCCCCAGGAGCCCCCCGGCCGCGCGGGCCCCGCCGAGCCACGACCGCCGCCGGCCGCCCGGCCGCCCCCCGAGCCGCGGCGCCGCGGCCCCTACACGGGCTCCCGGCTCGGCGACAACTTTGCCGAGGACACCCAGGTTAACCCTCCGGGGAGCCCAACTGTCATAGCAGAATCCCCGCTCCGTGAGGGGACGGCGCTGGTCCGCAGCCCGCGGCAGCACTCCTCCGTCGCTTCCAGCCCGCGTCCCGGGGCGCGGGGCTCAGCCCGGCCGGCCCCCGGGTCGCCGAGCGCCCGCCCCCTCGCGCGGCTGCCCGCTCGGCCCCGCAGCCCCCGGCTCCCCGGCCGCGCCTCGGCTCTGGCCCGCCGACCCCCGAGCACTGCGCCCCGAGGGGACACGAGGCGGCGGCCCCGGCGCCGGCTTCCTCGGGAGCCACTTCTGCGGCGCGGCCAGGTTGGGTCCACTCCTTCCTCCGGCAGCGGATCCTCCCAGGAGAGAGCGCTGGCGACTGGGCGGCCGCGCGCGGCACCGGCAACCCCTCCCAGGGGTGGGGACAACCACGCACGTTTTTCTGTCAGGAGCCTCTCGGCGAGAGCCGGGGCGCCGCTCGCACCGCGACCCGGTGTCGCTGCGCCTGGCAGCCTAGTCGAATCCGCGGCCCCCGCGCGGGGATGCGCGGGCCGAGGGCGGCGGCGGCTCGCGGGCCGCGCGGCGAGGGCTCCCTTGCTCCCTCCTACCCGGAGGAAGCGGCCCCGGCGCGAGGAGGGCCGCGGGGACACAGCACAGACACTTGTTTGCAAGGCTCAGCCCGGCGCGCGCGCGGCGCTCCGAGTGGGTCCGCCTCCTCCGGGCCGGGTGGGCGGTGGCCTCGCGCCTCACCCGCGGCTCCTCCTCCTGCTCCTCCTCCTCCTCGCCCGCGAAGCCAGGGCACCGGCGCAGCGAGATTCCAGCCCCAGCCCCCTCGGGCGGGCGCCCTGGGGTGTGGAAGGCGCGGGGCTCCCTGTGGCATCGCCCAAGTAGGGATGGGGTCGGGCGCCCGCGGCCCCGCCGCGCAGTGCGCTCCTGGCCGACTTCAGTCCGTCTCGCGGCTTCTTCCGGGTTTATCCCGCGCAGCAGCTGCCGCCTCGGGACACGCTCATTCCCACGGCCACCGGCAAGCCACTCCTGGCGACTCCCCGGGACCTGAGGAGCCGCGGCGCGGAGGTGACCCTCCCCGGCCTGCGCCTCCCTTCTTCCTCCTCCCCAGCTGGGCGCGTGGTCGCGTCGCCCGGGGACTCTGGTGATGCCCGAGAAATGGGCTGGGGGTGCCGGGTGCCAGGATGGGGTGGGGCGGCCCTAGGCCGGCCTGACTTCGGGACCGGGCTGCGGGCGAGGGTCTCGGGGCCCGGCTCGGCCGGCTTCCGGGCCGAGAAAGAAGGGCAGAGGAAGCGGTCAGGGTCCCCTCCGGCCCCGGCCTCCCTCCCGGAGTATAAGCCCTTGGAGGCCAGGTTTTGGGTTGCTGCCGCCCAGCTCTTTCGGTCTCCACTTCTCCCCACGGACGTTTACAGCTGCTCGCTTTATTTCTCCCTCCATTCCCCCGTGGAGCCCCCTCGGCAGCGGAGGGGTCGCGTGCTTCTCCTCTCCCGCCTGCGCCTCCCCCCTTCCCACCCGACAGCCCAGGAGGAGCTGCGGGCGCGGCCCTGGGACGGCCGGAGCCTGGGGCTTCTGCTCGCTCGCGCCCTCCCAGGCGTTGCCGCGGGTCCGAGCCCCCGCAGAGGTGGGCATAGCCCCGGGGCCGCAGAAAACGAAGGCAGCTGGGCAGGGATGCTCAATTTCCCGAGCCCCACTTTCCTTTCACAGCCCACTGGGATGTGTAGTTCTTCCGCCCGCAGGCCTGCGCCGAGGAGAAGCACGACTCGGGGCCTTAGAAACTACAAGTCCCTGCATCCCCCGCGACAAGGGCAGGAGAGGCGTGGTGCTGGGCGTTCTGGGGCTAGGTGGTGGGAGATGGGAACCAACAAAGGGGGTTGTGGGGAACGGTGCCTTCTCTGTACTGGGCAGTTTGCACGTTACACATGTTCTTTGTCTAATCTTCGCCGGAACCCGGTGAGGCATTATTGTATCCAGCTTAGAGAAAGCTTAACTACTGGCCAAACATCACAAAGCTCCCAAGTAGTAGAGATGGCATCGAACCCAGAGCCCTAAGTATGTCCCTTACAAAGCGTGCCTCAGTGAGGAGTGTCGAAGGGGGATGAGATTGGCTTATCCAAGAGGGCCAGTTGGGAGGAGCTGTGGTAAGGAAAAAGTGATGGGAATAGCAATTAGAGTATGACATGCAATTACAAGGAGTTTTGAATACAAGTGAAATTTACAGGGGTCCATTCCAAAGCCGGTTAGAGTCTAGGGAGAATGGATCTTAAGCACACGATAATAATTGGGTTTTAATTATTTTAGATATTGTATGAGAGACAAGCATATTACAGGGACAATTAAGTATTTGTGGCTGGACTAGTTTTAAAAAACCAACTGGAAAGCTTCATACATTTCAAGTGAAAGCTCTCATATGCTTTCCTGTCCTTTAGCTAATGAGATCAACGGGGTATTATTCTTATTCTGTTTATTGCAAGCACCTTTTCTGTGGGTGTCCAATTAATATAATAGATCCATTGATTTGATGGCATTAAAAAAGACTCCCACTCTTATTCTCAATGAAACCGAATTTTTCTGGCATTATGGTTATGCTTTTAAAAAGTCCTTCCTTGTCTGTTAGAGATATGTACTAAAGTATCTGCCAGCGAAATAATATAAAGTCTGAAATGTGCTTTAAAACACACCAGCCCATCCACTCCCCTCCTCCCACCCACCCAGCTCCAGACATGGAGGTATAAATGAAACAATTGGAAACTGTTGAAAATAGTTGACCTTGGGTGACATGTACTTGTACTTAATTATTTATTGCTGCAAATTGCCACAAACGTAGTGGCCTTAAAACAAGACAGATTTTTCTCACAGTTTTTATGGATCAGGTGTCCAGGTACACTCAGTCCCCCACTTAGGGTCTCACGCCTGCCATCAAGGGGCTGGCCAGGCTGCGTTCACATTCACTGGAGAAGAACTGGCTTCCACTCTGACTCCGGGCACAGGCAAAATTCCTTTCCTTGCAGCAGTAGGACCGAGGGCCCTGGCTTCTTGCTGGCTGGAGACTGGAGACTGTCCTCAGCTCCAAGAGGGAACCTGCAATTCCTAGAGGTTACCTGGACTTCATTGTCACTTGGGCTTTCCGAGCACAGCCACTTATTTTGTCAGGCCTGCAAGGAGAGTCCCCAGAGTGAGTCTCCAGCAAGACAGAATTTTATATAACATAAAGCAATCCCACGGGGGCAACTTCAAATGTGAACATTCTGTTGGCCAGAAAGCATGTTTTGCACACACTCAAAGGGAGAGGAGTACACAGGGCATGAACCCTAGGGTGAGGGACACCCCGGAGTGCATCCACCACAGTGTACATGAGAGTCCATTATGCTTTTCTTACCTACCACATCTACTCATGTTTATGTTTGACATTTTCCATAATAAAAAGAAATGAATTCGTTTTAAAATGTTACCTAAAGTTTCCACAGCAAATAAGATATGCTGATATGATTTCTAAATAGCTGATACAATTGTCTGTAGTTGTCTTCCAGGGGATAACTTTTTTCTTCCCACTCCATGTGTACTAAGACCTCTGCGGTTAATTCACTTGTATGGGTTACCCTCCCCTAAGAGCGTTCACTAGAACCTGGTGTGTGATAGCTGCAGAGTTCACCTCACCAGCTACAGTTGATCTTGAACAATATGGGTTTGAACAGCGTGGATGCCCTTAGACACGGATTTTTTTCAACCAAATGCAGATGGAAAATACAGCATCCGTGGGATGGGAAATGCGAGTATTCAGAGGGCAAAGGCCCACTCTTCCTATATGCAGGTTCTGTGGAGCCTGTTTAAGGACCTGAATATGTGCAGATTCAGGTATACGCAGGTGATCCTGGAACCAATCTCCTGAGGATACTGAGGGATGACTGTAAAACCTACTGTATAAGGGATGGTAGAGTTTATTCATTTATTTTACAGTTATCTATTTCAGGGCCTAGATTGTGCTAAGTACTGTTTTAGCAGCAGTGATACAAAAAGATCCAAGATAGAAGCTTATATTTGGGGACTGGGGGAGAGGTGGAGAGAATAAACAAATAAATAAATGACTAGTAAGACAATTTCAGAGAGTAATTACAAGAACGAAAAAACAAAGCAGGGTTATGGGATGGAGAGACTGGGGTCGGGCAGAGAATCGAATGATGGGAAGGGGCAAGTACCAAGTCCTCAAGGCAGAACAACCTGGAAAATTCTAGGGGTACAAAGAAAAACCAGTCTGGCTGGAGTGGAGCGAGGGCCAGGGAGAGAGGGAAAAAGGAACAGGAATTCATTCTGTGTGCACCAGCATCAATTCTGTATGCCACACTCTGTACCCACCATCGGTGTAAGTGTTGAGGGGTCTGAAAGAAAAATCACCGTCCTTGCCCTCCAGGAATGTATAGATTCCAAACTTTAATGCTAGAGGGACGTCAGCGTATCTAGAATTAGAGACCAAAACTTGTATTTCTCAAACAAGGACACTGAAAAGTCAAAAGACCTGCTAAAAATTCCTTGAGAATGCCTCGCCAATAACAAATAATCCAAAAATGAGTCTTGAATTGAATTGAAAGAGTGCATGATCTACTTTTGCTAAATGGGGTTTAGCCTAATACTGCCTCTTTACATATTTTAAGTTTGGCCTAAAGGTTTCTCTGTACACTGAACTGTAGCCTAAATGGAAGTGTAAACAGAGTGTGATCTACTCGGGTGTCAATTACTGAGTTTTGGCCACTCAATTGTGGCCAGCTGTTCAAACCATGTTCAAATAAGACAAATGCTGAGCTGTAACCATCTGGCTGTTTCCGTACCTCATTTCCGCTTTCTGTACGTCACTTTCTTTTTTCTGTCCATAAATTCTCTTCCACCACGCGACTGCACTGCAGTCTTTGAGGCTACCCTGGCTCAGGAGGCTGCCCAATTCATGAATCATTCTTTGCTCAGTTAAACTATTTTAAATTGAATTCAGCTGAAGTTTTTCTTTTAGCACTTTAAAGCTTTAGAAAATTGATAATGTTTAGTGCTTGTCACGTGCAGGTCAGTATGATGAAGGTAAATGCGGCAGAGAAACTACAGTTAAGGTTGGGAAACAAGATGGAGGCACATGAGAAATTCAATAATACAAGAGAACGATATTATAAAAATAATGATCTTTTCTCCAGAGTATTTTTGTATTAGTCAATCTCCTGGTTCTTTATACATTTAGATCATTAAATCCGGAGGACAACCTGATGAGGCAGGGATTATTATCTTTATTTCACAGAGGAGGAAACTGAAGATCAGAGAAGTTAGGTGATTTGCCCAGGGTTTTGCAGTAAGTAAGTAATAGAGTCAAGATTCTAGGCCAGGTATGAATGTCTGACTCAAGCTTTCCTATATCCCCCACACAATGGAAAGAGCACGCGGTCTGATGAACCAACAACTGAGTGGAATAGAGAAATCATCTTGATTTCAGAGTGAAGAGAAATCTCAGGCCCAGCCTGTAGCAAAGTGCACCTCTGACCTTGACAGTTTGGACAGGAAGAATATGAAAGGGTTAGTCTCTCAGGGAAATGGGGATGGGTACAGAAAAGTAAATTATTGGGAAAGTGCATGATGTTTCTAGCTGGAGTAGAACTGACAGGGATCCAAGCACAATTAGTTTATTTGGGAGGGGATTGCAGAAAACACCAGCAGAAGAGTGAGGAAGTGAGATAGGGAGGGAAAAGAAACCAATAAAGCATGCGCTATCGAGCAAGCTACCATGGTGGGCCACCGAAATCGGACCCTCTAGGGCAGTGGTCCCCAACTTTTTTGGCACCAAGGACCAGTTTTGTGGAAAACAATTTTTCCACGAACTGGAGGGTGAGGGGATGGGGGCATGGTTTTGGGATGAGTCAAGTGCATTACATTGATTGTGTACTTTATTTCTATTATTAGTATTACATTATAATATATAAAGAAGTAATTATACAACTCACCATAAGGTAGAATCAGTGGGAGTCTGAGCTGTTTTCCTGCAATTAGACGGCCCCAGTGGGGGTGATGGGAGGTAGTGACAGATCATCAAGCATTAGAGTCTCATAATGAGCATGCAACCTAGGTCCCTCACATGCTCAGTTCACAACAGGGTTCACACTCCTATGAGAATCTAATGCTAATCTGACAGGAGATGGAGCTCAGGCAGTAATGCGAGCGACGGGGAGGGCTGTAAATACAGATGAAGCTTCGCTCACTTGTCCACTGCTCACCTCCTGCTGCGCAGCCCGGTTCCTAACAGGCCGTGGACCAGTACTGGTCCGTGTCTCTGGGGTTTGGGGATCCCTGCTCTAGGGGACTCTGGGAGGCCCGAGGTGTGCAACCTGCCAGAGTTATCCCAACTGAGGGGCAAGAAAGCTGAAGTTTATTCACCAATTCCCCATCTGTTATTAGTCGAGACCTCCTTCTGGGAGCATTACTCTACCTTCTTTACGTTTTCATCACTCTCCTCAGTTGTCACTGCCATCAGCAATTACAGCAACGAGCTGGCCCTCCCTGGTTTGTTAGTATCTTTGATTCTAGTAGGTCTCTCCCTGTCCTCATCTGACTCAGTGGATTCACTGACAATAGGGGTTATGTTATTCACAAAGCTAGAGCATTGTTCTTTTCATGTCAGCAGCTCAAAGCATTCCACAAACCCATCTCATTAGTTCTCAGCATACCTTCAAGAAGCCAAGAGGAAGTATAGCCTTATCCACTGTGAAAAGGGAAGACATTCAGATTCCAGGACAGGACATGATTTATATACCTTTCAGGGCCAAAAATGAGTGTGCTGTTCACGTGGTCAAGGTACATACAGGTCAAAGTGTCACAGTCCTAGGAGAACTCCGAAATCGCCAGAAGGGATGTCATGAGAGAGTTCTAGGATGGCTGGAAGTAACTGCTGAAGCTTCTATACCAAACAAGATTCTTCAGAAAATCAGACACCTTAATTTCTTCCAACCCAGAGAGTCAGCTCCCACTTTAGCATGTGCTCAGCACAGCTGGGAACATCTTGTGTTGAAATATGTAAGGTGCTTAAAATATAATAATAAACTCAGCACTACAAGAAAATATTAGTTTGAAGCAGAAAAACTTTAATTCAAAACTTTTTTTTTTTTTTTTTTGAGACAGCGTCTGGCTCTGTCGCCCAGGCTGGAGTGCAATGGCTGGGATTACAGGCGCGCGCCACCATGCCCGGCTAATTTTGTATTTTTAGTAGAGACGGGGTTTCTCCATGTTAGTCGTGCTGGTCTCGAACTCCCAACCTCAGGTGATCTGCCCTCCTTGGCTTCCCAAAGTGCTGGGATTACAGGCGTGAGCCACCGTGCCTCGCCTCAAAACTTTCTTTCTTTTTTTTTTTTTTTTTGAGACGGAGTTTCGCTCTGTCGCCCAGGATGGAGTGCAGTGGCGGATTTTGGCTCACTGCAAGCTCCGCCTCCCGGATTCACCCCATTCTCCTGCCTCAGCCTCCCGAGTAGCTGGGACTACAGGCGACTGCCACCACGCCCAGCCAATTTTTTTTTTTTTGTGTATTTTTAATAGAGACGGGATTTCACTGTGTTAGCCAGAATGGTCTACATCTCCTGACCTCGTGATCTGCCTGCCTCGGCCTCCCAAAGTGCTGGGATTATAGGCATGAGCCACCGCGCCCGGCCTCAAAACTTTCTTATAGTTGTTCCCTGAGTGACTTTTTCTTGCTTTTGTGACACAAAAATATTACTTTTTAGTATGTTTATAAAAATAATACTTGTGCATTGAAAAAAATTATACTACACAAAAATATGCAGAATGTGGCTCACCCCTGTAATCCCAGCACTTTGGGAGGCCAAGGCAGGTGGATCACAAGGTCAGGACATCGAGACCATCCTGGCTAACACGGTGAAACCCCGTCTCTACAAAAAATAGAAAAAATTAGCCGGGCGTGGTGGCGGGCGCCTGTAGTCCCAGCTACTCGGGAGGCTGAGGCAGGAGAATGGCATGAACCTGGGAGGCTGAGCTTGCAGTGAGCCAAGATCACGCCACTGCACTCCAGCCTGGGCGACAGAGCGAGACTCCGTCTCAAAAATAAATAAATAAATAAAAACAAATACGAAGAATGTAAAAGTTCAAATTCCCATCACCTTGGAAAACAATGGTTAATGATTTGTTGACCATCTTTGTATAATTCATTTTATGCATACATACACACTTATATCCATATCATTTAACAAAAATGGAATCATATCATACATGCTACTTTCATCCTGTGTGCTTTAAAAAAAAATTGTAGTATTTTTCTCTTAATTTCCCATCCCCACCCTTCCCTCGGGTAATCAATGTTAATAACATGTTGTATAGCCTTCTCCAGACTCATAATTATAGGCAAACGTATACACACACATACATGCAGCCCATATTACAGTTTCTTCAGTTGTCTTAATAGTGTCCTATATGGTTAATTTTTCCCAATTCAGGATCCAGTCCATCACACTCAGTTGTTAAACCTTTTATATCTCCTTTCACATGGGACAGTCCTACCTCCTTTCTTTGAGCTTCTTGATCTTGACATTTTGGAAGAGTGGCGTCCTTTATTTTGTAGAATATCTCTCGATTGGGGTTTGTCTGATGTTTCTTCACAATCAAATTCAGGAGAGGGCGTAAACCAGGTTTCGGCTGTCCAACGCAGGCCGTGGTGGCCTCCCTGAGGCCAAGACACTACCTTGGGGCTGCACTGATAAAACTACAAGATACCTGCTCCAGCCTGGCCTGCTCTTCCTGGACCTCAGCTCCTCACTCAATGATGACAGCACTTTTGAAGAATCACACCTATGCTGTTTCCAGCTGCTGGTGCTGCTGAAGTCTAGAGAGTGTGCCGCCAGCCCAGGCCAAAATTGACGCAAAATACAGACATTTTTAAACTGAGAAACAAAATAAGATGCACTCCGTTTTAAGGAAGCAGAAATTATGAAGAGATACAAAGTCACCAAAACAATTTTGTTGATTAATTGTAAAATGTGCCACAGAACAGTAAATATGATGGTAAAACGAGAAGCTTCCTTGAGCAATGAGAAACAATTTTACTATCCTAAGATCAGGCCCAGCAGGGAAAACACCACAGGGTGAGCCTCTGAGTTCTGCAGGTCTGGCTCCAAAGGCCAGAGCTCAGCACTGATTTTCCTAACACCTACATCTGGACAGTCAGCAGTTATTTACTCTTCAAAGGACATGAGCAAAACAAAGAAATGCTTCTCTCTACTAACAATGTTGCTTAATCAGAAAGAATCTAAATTGGATTTCAAAAGTTTCTGGTCTTCTCTGTAAAGAATGGATTTTGAGAAATGTCTATTGCGATTTCTAAACTAAAGCTAGTCAAAAAAACAATTCGTTTCACGTTTATTTATTTTCCAAATACATGGAAACCAGATCCAAGCACAAACTTTACTGGGCATCCTTTGTGTGTGTGTTTTTAAGAGATATGGTCTCACTCTGTTGCTCATGCTGGAGTGCAGTGGCATTATCATAACTCACTGTAACCTCAAATTCCAGGGCTTGAGCGATCTCCAACCTCAGCCTCTCAAGTAGCTGGGACTACAGGTGCATTCCACCACATCCAGCTAATTACTATTATTTTTTGTAGAGATGGGGGTCTCACTATGTTGACCAGGCTGTTCTCAAACTCCTGGCCTCAAGTGATTTTTTCATCTTGGCATCCTTGTTGGCATTTCTGTGGAATAAAAACCTCATTGGAACGAACAACTGAAACCACCTACCTCAAATGTTGTTTGTGAGATTAAAAAAATATATATGAAACTGCCTTGTGAATAGTCAATTCATATGCAGGTGTTAAATGTATTATGATTTTCCTTTTTCTCACTTAGCAATTTTCACTATTTAATATTGTTTTCTTCCTAAAAGTAATTGAGATATCTATGAGAGTGTCTACTTACTCACAAGGATTTCTTCAGGGGGCCAATAGCCTGATTGCTACATTCAGGGGAAAAAATGTGTGTGTCTTTGTTTTCCTACGAACATCTGGATAACTTTACATTAATAAAATCTGAGGATTCTTTCAGTTTGTGTATAAAAATATTAAGATTATTCCTGATTATAGATAATTCAGTAAGATAAAGAGTGCAAATACATTTTCTAAAACTTCTCATTTTTATAACTTTCTGTTGTTTCTATAATATTTCACCTTAAGAGACATTTTAATTCTAATACAGACTCATTTCTGGGTTTAAAATTATTTCAAAACATAAGTAACATAGTAACTTATACTTTATCTTACATCTTTTCTGGGATGACACAGATATACTTTTTTTCCTAATAAGCTAGGACTTTTCTCCACCTTTTTATTTAGCTCATTTGGATGCCTTGGGGACAGAAATCAGGTTATGCATTTTTGATAGGAGGACCAATGCAGTAATGCTGTGTCTTTCTCAGTACCATATCAAAAGGCACACGATGCTGGTGGTCCCGATATTAATGATGTTCGTTTTGATCGTTAGGGTAAGGTGGTTCCACCAGGTTTTTCCAATATAAAGTTCCATTTTTCCATTGTAATTAACAGTTACAAAGATAGTGGCTGGGCGCGGTGGCTCATGCCTGTAATCCTAGCATTTTAGGAGGCTGAGGTGGGTGGGTCACTTGAGCTCAGGAGTTTGAGACCAACCAGCCTGGGCAACGTGGCAAAACCTCGTATCTACACAAAAAAATAGAAAAATTAGCCAGGCATGGTGGTGCGTGCCTGTAATCCCAGCTACTCAGGAGGCTTAGCAGGGAGGATGCTTGAGCCCAGGATGCAGAGGTTGCAGTAAGCTGTGATCATGCCACTGCACTCCAGCCTGGGTGACAGAGCAAAACACCATCTCAGAATAATAATAATAATTACAAAGGCAGAGATTGTGTAAATATTTTGTTCTTCATCAAACTTTCACCCAATAATTTCTAATTTTTTCCCTTCCTTCCTTCTTCCTTCCCTCCCTCTCCCCTCCCCCCCCCCCTTTTCTTCTCTCCTTCTCTCTTTCCTGGCATTTTATGGCAAGGAAGCATTTTCCCTTCTCCCCATTTATGTACCATTCATGCTATACAAACTGGTGTATTTATATCAGCATGGCCTTCCAGATACTTATTTTATTCAATGGGTTAAAATCTATTCTTACTGATAGTTATTTTGATGTTCAAATTATTCTAGAGGTGGCTAGAATTAGCTCCTTAAGCTAACCCCTATGTAATTTTTTTCTTTTCTTTTTTTTTTTTTTTTTTTGAGATGGAGGCTCACTCTATCGCCCAGGCTGGAGTGCAGTGGGGAGATCTTGGCTCACTGCAACCTCTGCCTCCCGGGTTCAAGCGATTCTTGTGCCTCAGCCTCCTGAGTAGCTGGGACTACAGGCACCTACCACTACGCCCAGCTAATTTTTCTATTTTTAGTAGAGACAGGGATTTACCATGGTAGCCAGATTGGTCTCAAACTCCTGACTTCAGGTGATCCACCCACCTAGGCCTCCCAAAGTGCTGGGATTACAGGTGTGAGCCATAGCGTCCGGCCGCCCCTATTGAATTTGACATTCATTGAATGGTTGCCTCTCTTCTATCTGATTTAGTCAAATGTTCCAGCCTCATCATGTACTTTGTCTTTCCAGCCCTGCAATCTGTCATTTCTCCAAGGGTCCCTAAGTTCCTTTCAGTGGAAAATATATATGTGTTTGTTCATCTCTGTTTCTATCTTTAAAAAAACATAGACACACATATGTATAGATGTTTACTTTCTTCAATGTTAAAACACCGTGTGTTCAAGCTGATAACCTATAATTCCAATTTAAAACTGCATCTATAGTCCATCCTTCCCACTTTTCACATCTGTAGCTTCTTCCTCCCATGATCCTCAATACATTTACTCATATCCTCAAGCCTAGAAGACAAAAAGGTTTCCGAATTACTAGTCCATGCCACCACAAAAAAGCAGACCAGCAAATAGCATTAAATACTTATTTTACAGTTCTTCCTTTTTTTGTGTTGAACAATGAAGAAAGTAAAATAGTAGACATCTGTTGTGGTTTCTATTGTTGTGGTTTCTATTGTTATGGTTTCTTTCTAATTTCGTCTTGAGGTCTCTCGAGAGTGATGCAGGGCAGGCAAGCCCCAAAGTGGAACATGGCCTGCTGGGTTCTTGGCTTTGCCCAGGAAAGAATTCAAGGACCTGCCAGAGGTAGAAGGAAACAGCTTTATTGAAGCAGCAGTGTTGCAGCTCCGCAATGGCTCCTGCAGAGCAGGGCCACCCCAAAGGCAGAGGGCAGCAGCTCTGGGCAGGTCTGCAATCATATTTATACCCACTTTTAATTACATGCAGATTAAAGGGTGGTCTATGCAGAAATTTCTAGGGAAGGAGCTGCAACTTTTGGGTCATTGCGTCATTGCCATAAAAAGGGGCAGTAATGCCCAGATGTTGCCATGACAACGGTAAAGTGACATGGCACACTGGCAGGCATGTCTGATTGAAAGCTGATTTTGCTCCCTCTTTTATGCATTTATTTATTTATGAGATAGAGTCTCGCTCTATCGCCCCCGGCTGGAGTGCAGTGGCACGATCTTGGCTCACTGCAATCTCCGCCTCCCGGGTTCAAGTGATTCTCCTGTCTCAGCCTCCAGAGTAGCTGGGATTACAGGCTCCCGCCACCATGCCAGGCTAATTTTTGTATTTTTATTAGAGACAGGGTTTCGCCATGTTGGCCAGGCTGGTCTCGAACTCCGGACCTCAGGTGATCCACTCGCCTCAGCCTCCCAAAGTACTGGGATTACAGGCGTGAGACAATGTGTCTGGCTGTCCCCTGCTTTTAGCTAGTCCTCAGTCGGGTTTGGTGTCTGAGCCCCACCTCTACAGCCAAGTCCCATCTCAAGAGTGCCCGTAGGGCAAGATAACCCCTCTCTAGGAGAACTCTAACTGAGGGAAAAGTTAGGTTCCTGTGTATCAGTCAGGTGAGATATGATGAGGAAATAAAACCAAGATGCATGAAACCAAAGAAATGTATTGCTCATAGGTCCCAGAGAGGTTAAGGGTGCCTGCAGGAGGCCAGTGGGGAGTCTGGAGGCTTTGAGGAGTTCATCCAGTGGGCGGGTCGGGGGTGGGGAGGGACTTCTGGGACTATGTCTTCATTAAGGTCCGTGGGCACTATCTCCTAGGTTTGTGGACTGGATAGTTTAATGAAAATACAGATTGGAGAACTTGCTTCCATGACTCTGGTATTGATGATTCAGTTTTACAGTGGTAGCAGCTGTGGGGTGTATGGGGTTTTGAGTTAGTGGGATGAAAAGCAAGTGGGCTATAGCAAAAACAACTAGGCGGGGCCGGGGGGTAGTTTTAACTAGGGCAAAGGTGATGGGCTATGACTTGGTTGTAAACAACTTACATTAGGCCTAAAAATGGATGCCAAGGCAGCAACTATATTAAACAAATTTATGATGACATCCTTACATATTCCCAGTCTTAGGGTGAAAGCATCAGATATTTTATCATTAAGTATAATGTTACCTTTCGGTACCTCTCTAGATGCCCTTTATCAGGTTGAAAAAATTTTCTTCTATTTCTTGTTTGCTGAGAGTTTTTATATGTTGGGGTGTTGAATTTTGTCATATGTTCTTCCTGCGCTTATTGACATAGTTTTCTCCTTTATTTTACTAATATGATAAATTACATTGCTTAATAATTGGATGCTAAAAAAAACCTTTAGGGCCAGGCGTGGTAGTTCACACCTGTAATCCCAGCACTTTGGGAGGGCGAGGCTGGTGGATCACCTGAATTCAGGTGTTCGAGACCAGCCTGGGCAACATGGCGAAACCCCGTCTCAACTAAAAATACAAAAATTAGCCAAGCGTGGTGGCGTGTGCCTGTAATCCCAGCTACTCAGGAGGCTAAGACAGGAGAATTGCTTGAACCCAGGAGGTGGAGGTTGCAGTGAGCAGAGATCATGCCACTGCACTCCAGCCTGGTGACAGAGAGAGACCCTCTCAAAAAGTAAATAAATAAACTTTTACATTTCTGAGAAAATCCTTATTTGATCAACATATATTGTCCTTTTCATATATTGCTGGATTTGAATTGCTAACATTGTATGAAAAAAATACATTTACGTTCATGAAGGTAACTGGTTAATGATATATTTTTTCTTTTCTTTTTATTGTCATGTCTTTGTCAGGTATTGGCTTCAGGATTCTCCTGCCTCATGACATGGGATGGAAATTGTTTCCTCATCTATGTTTTTGAAATGGTTTTTGTAAAATTGATATTTCTTTCTTAAGTGTTTGGTAAAGTTCACCAGTCAATTCATTTGCTTCTGGAATTCTATTTGAGAAGAAGTTGATGATAGAAAATTCAATTTATTTAAAAGATACAGAGCTATTCTTATTTTCTCTTTCATCTTGGGTCTGTTTTGGTAAGCTATGTTTTTCAAGGAATTTTTCTATTTAGTTTAAGTTGTTCATAGTCTTGTTATTATCTATTTAATGTCCGAATGATCAATTTTTCTCAGTCACTCTTGCTGAGGTTTATCCATTTCATTAATTTTTTTTTGAGAAAAACAACTTTTGCTTTGTTAGTTTAAGCTATTGTGTGTTTTCTATTTTATTTATACCTTTTATCTTTATAAGTACTTCCCGTCTATTTTCTTTGGGTTTAATTTGCTCATCTTATTCTAGATTCTTAAGATAAAAACTTAGATTAATTTTAAACTTTTTTGTTTTCAAATACAAGTATTTAAACCTATAAATTTTCCTCTAAGGACCACCTTACCTGCATCCCACACATTTTCATATGTTGTATCTTTATTATCAGAGTTTAAAGTATTTTCTAATTTTCTCCTTAGATTTCTTCTCATGATTTTTGCTTTTATCCATGGTTTATTTAGAAGTAAGTTGTTTAGATTCACGAAGGTAGTGAGCCCTAATGGAAAGCCATAGAGAGTGCTCTCCCCGCTGCCAGCTTCCTGTACTGGGTAGGCGCAGGCACTGCAGGCACCGTGGCCTACCTAGCTCTGCGCATCTGCTACTCGCTCTTCAGGGCCCTCTGGGTCTGGGGAGTGGGGAACGAGTCGGAGGTCCGCCCAGGGCTTGGGGAATGGGCACATCAGGTAGTACTGATGGAACTGGAAAATCGTATGCAGAAGAGTTAGCAAAACATGAAATGGCGGTTGTCCTTATCAGCAGATTACAGGATAAACTTGACCAGGTTTCCAGGGAAATAAAAGAAAACTTCAAAGTGGAGACAAGAACCATTGCTGTTGACTGCATCAGAAGATATTTATGATAAAATTAAAACAGGCTTGGCTGGTCTTGAAATCGGCGTCTTAGTGAACAACGTGGGAATGTCATATGAGTATCCCAAATACTTTTTGGACATTCCTGACTTGGACAATATGATCAAGAAAATGATAAATATTAATATTCTCTCTGTTTGTAAGATGACACAGTTGGTGCACCTGGCTTGATGGAAAGATCTAAAGGGGTGAATCTGAACCTCTCCGCTGGCAGAGGCATGTTCCCCGTCCCACTGTTGACGATCTGTTCTGCAACCAAGACTTTTGTTGATTTCTTCTCTCAGTGCCTCCATGGGGAGTATAGGAGCAAGGGCATCTTTGTGCAGAGTGTCCTGCCATACTTCGTAGCTATAAAACTGGCTAAAATCCGAAAGCCAACTTTGGATAAGCCCTCTTCGGGGACATTTTGAAGTCTGCAATTAAAACAGTAGGCCTGCAATCCCAAACCAATGGATACCTGATCTATGCTCTTATGGGCTTGATAATCTCAATCCTGCCGTCTTGGATTTATTTTAAAATAATCATGGCTATGAAAAGTCTACACGGGATCGCTATTTGAAAAAAACCAAGAAGAACTAACTATTGATAACTGCATTATAACTTGGCCAGGTGCACCAGCCTATGCATGCTTACTGCAAGGCATCCTACTGGTCTTGAAAATCTGAAGTTGTTGTTTGAATAGTTATTAACATGACTAAATGTTATCTTAATTAAGAGGAAAACAGAAGTTGCTTTTAGGGGTTTCTGACATATATTCTGGATACTACCAGAGGTAATTTTGGAGTTTAATATAAATGCTCATTTCAAATGAATATAGAACTAATATTGTCAAGAACAGCTAATAGGAAGGAATACTATTATAGCAAATCACAGAATGAAAGACCCAAACATAAAACTCAGCAGTTTTATCTGCTCCAAAATGCCATTGATCATTATTCCTGTATTTTCTCTGAAACTGATTAGAAAAAGTAATGTCCAGCTACTCTGTTGTTTTTGACACTTTGAAGAAATGAAGATTAATTGATTTGATTTGTTTATAAGCAAACACACTGTGATTTACAAAGATCTCTTTAAAGTTTTATAAAATTATGTTCCAGTTTGTACGTTTATATGGAATCGTTCTTTATCAAGGGTAGCTAATGACATAAAAATAACTGTGAAATATGGAGTTATTTCTGACACATGAAACCCACTCAACTGTGCTTTTTTGTAGTGCATATTTCTTCTCAGTTTAAATGTATGTAAATATCAAAGCTATATGGTATGATTTATAAAGATAAATGGGCCAAAGTGTACATTGAGACTGGCAGCCATCTATGGTACCACTGAAACCCTAACCCAGAAAAGTGGCCTGCTTGGACACCCAGACTTCTTTGTTTCTGCATTGGACCAATATTGCTCACACATGTGACACAGGCTAGTCCTATAGAAGTAATGACATCATAGAAGTGGCATTATAACTTTTAAATTGATATTCTCTTGGTAGGTACTAGTATAATTAGTTTTAATAAAACATGCTGTAACCATGGTGTACAACAAAAATACATTTCTTTGGTGATTGAAATTAAGGCCATATTTACACTGACTTAATATAAGACTGACTTTTATCCTGCTTCATAACTTGTATGGGGAACTCACCAAGAAAGAATTCAATATTGTGAAATATGCAACAAGAAGATTGGCCTTTACCAAATCTGTGGTGCCTAAGCTCTGAGTTTTAAGCATCAGTAGATTTGTATTAAAAAAAAATAATTGGGGCCTCAGTTTCTGGCTTTTAATTTTGCCGGCTAAGTACATAAAAACAAACAAAACAAATAACCACCTGCTATCAGCACATTATGTAAAAGAAAATGTATTTTAGCCCCTAAAATTAGGAAGAATATAATCTCAGAATAAAGGTTGTCATTTAAATGGAAAAAATATAGCTTTATGAAAAAAAAGAGTAAGTTATTTAATTTCTACATACAGCTATTCATTTCTAACTTAATTATTTTGTGGTCAGAAAATCTGTAAGATTTTAATCCTTTTGTTTATTATTTAGTTTAGTTTAGTTATTTATTTATTTCTGAGACAGGGTCTCACTCTATTACCCAGACTGAAGTGCAGTGACATGATCACAGTTCACTGCAGCCTTGAATTCCTGGGCTCGAGATCTTCCTGCCTCTACCTTCAGAATAGCTGGGACTACAGGCATGCACCACCATGCTTGGCTAATTTGTTTGTTTTTTTTTTTTTTTTTTTGGTAGACATAAGTTCTCATTATGTTACCCAAACTGGTCTCAAATGCCTGGGCTCAAGCGATCCTCCTGCTTTAGCCTCCCAAGTGCTGGGATTACAATCATAGCACCACTGCCTGGCCCATTCTTTTACACTTACTAAAACTTGTTTCTCTTCCTTGTGTTGAAGTCTCTTTTATCTGGTATTAATGTAGCCATCTCAGATTTTTTATATGTGCTGTTTACATAGTATATCTTTTTCCATTATTTGATTTCATTCCCTCTGATACTTTACACAGGGTAACCCTTTTAAACAGCATGTAGTTAGGTCTTGATTTTTAATAAATCTAGTCTGACAATCTGTTCTTAATGAGCATGCTTAGTACCTTTACATTTGATGTAATTATTGATATGATTAGATTTAGGCCTACCATTAAATAAAATACAAAGAGTTATAAAGAATTAAAATATAAGATCAAACTGTATAACTATATAACTGATCCTATACTTTGATTCTTTGTAACTCCTTTCCTGCCTTCTTTTAGTTTAATCAAAAATTTTTATCAAAAATTTTAATTTCTCTACTGGCTTTTTAGCTGTACTTCTTTGCCTTATTTTTAAGTGACTATTCTGGAAATAGCCACTAAAATAACCACTAAAAATATGCATATTTATCATAATCACCTTGATCTTGGACTTCCAGCCTCCAGAACTATAAGAAATAAATGTCTGCTATTTAAGCCGCCCAGTATATGGTGTTTTGTTACAGCAGCCTGAACCGACTAAGACAATTCTTGTTCTGCACAACTTTCTGTAGTAAGCAATGATAGTGAAGAAACCACAATGGAAACAAAACCAAATGCTGATGAGGAGGTGAAACAACAGAACTCTCATCCAATACCTCCATCTAGGCAATTAGTACTGTGCAGAAGAAGACGTATCCAAGAGCTTTCATTAAAGCACTGTTTTTGATAGTAAAAAACAAAATTAAAACTAAAAACAACCTATATATCCATTAGTAGGAGACTAGATAAATTGTGGACTATTCATAAAATAGAATATTATATGAGAGTGAAATGAAATAATTAGAAATGTAAGAATAAACTATTTCAGAAAAAATGATGTTGAATGGAAAGAGAAATTTGCTGGAGTTTCCATATATTATGATATCTTTTATATGAATTACAACAGGATACATTGTTTATAGTTAAATACATTTATTCTAAAATTCAGAAAAAATCAAAAGGAATGCTGAACACAAAATTCAGGATATTTGTTATATCTGCAAGGGAAGAAAGGAGAAAAGAATTAAAAAAGAATAAGGAGTTTAAGTTGAATGTATAATATTTTACTTCTTGTGTTATATGTGGGTACAGGGGAGAGTATTATATTTTATTATTATCTAAAAGGGTTTTTTTATTCCTACAATATTTCCAAATATTTTATTTTTAGAGACAGGGTTTCACTCTGTCCCTGAGGCTGGAATGTAGTAGCATGATCATAGCTCACAGCAGCCTCAAACTCCTAGGCTCAAGTGATTCTCCCACTTCAGCCTCCTGAGTTGATGGGACTTCAGGTGTGCACCACCACGGCTGGCTAATTTTGTTACTTTTTGTAGAGACAGGGGTCTTGCTATGTTGCCCAGGCTGATCTCCAACTCCTGGCCTCAAGCTATCCTTCCAAGTCAGCCTCCCAAATTGCTGGAATTACAGGCTTAAGCCACTGTGCCTGGCCAGTATTTCCTAATTTTTTTGATGAATAAGATTACTTTTTAATTTCAAAAGTAATAAGATTGCTTTTTTTGTTTGTTTTTTAAGACGGAGTCTCTGTCTTTTAAGACAGAGCTCCAGCCAGCTCTGTCTCCCAGGCTGGATTGCAGTGGCGTGATCTTGGCTCACTGTAACCTCCGCCTCTCAGGTTCAAGCAATTCTCCTGCCTCAACCTCCTGAGTAGCTGGGACTACAGGCATGCACCACCATGCCCAGCTAATTTTTCTATTTTTAGTAGAGATGGGGGTTTCACCATGTTGGCCAGGCTGGTCTCGAACTCCTGAGCTCAGGCAATTCACCTGCCTCAGCCTCCCAAAGTGCTGGGATTACAGGTATGAGCTGCTGCACCCAGCCAGTAATAAGATCACTTTTTAATTTTAGTTATTTCTAAACCAATTTGCTTAGAAATAACTGAAAGAGTTTCCAAACAATATGTTTCCTCAGATAAAAATCTATCCTCCACAAACCACCAAATTTAAGGGCATTCCCTTTTGAACATGTCCTGGTATCTAATTAGTGCAGCCCTTGTCCTCTGTTGCTGAGGGAGGTCAGCATCCACATCTACTGAGACGTAGAACAGCAGTTTATTAGCAGCGTTGATCATTGAGGTTTAGGCAAAACATAGGAGCTGTCAAGCACAGGTTAGTAGGAACACCTGGAAAAGGTGAAATGCACGTGTAATTCACTGGAAAGGTGCAAATAGGGTGAAGCACTAAGTTACACTAAGTGAATATTTTCAGGCCCCTATGATGGTTCTGTCCATGCGTAAACTCATCACCACGAGAAAAACTTACCATGTTACTTGATCTCAATCAGCTCTTCACTAAATATTTATTATCCTCCTGGCAAAAGGGAAAATGCATAATAAAATTCCATTTCTTAACTTAGGTGTCTTAACAGTGCCACAAATCTAGCTATCTAGGTTAACACAGATGTTCAGTGAGTTTGAGGCAAAGCTTTGAAAAATCTCTTTAGGATAAAAAATAAAAATAATATGGAAAGAAAGAACCAAGAAGAAAAGGAGACAAAGGGAGCCTAAATGATGTGAAAAAATAAGGTTTGAACCTTGAAAGTGTTGAGCACCTGAGGGGAATTAGTGTAACTTTGGTGAATTCCATCCATCCACAGAGTCCCACAAATGTGCTCTAGGCTGGGAGGGTGCAGGGACGCGTAAGAACCAGTCTTTGACGTTAAGTGTATTGACAAAAGTGTAACTAAGGACTCCCTCACAGGGCAGAGTAGAATAATTACCACGATGATGGAGCACGCAGCAGAGCACAGGGTCACAGGTTAAGGAATGGTTGCCTGTGATCAGTTTCACAGGGGAAGTCGGCATTTGGTCTAGACCACTCGTGAAATTCAACTCATCAACCAAAGGGATGATAAGAAAATTCCAAAACTAAGGATAAAATATAACTATCATGGTATTATTTAAATACTTGAAAAAATGGCTTAAATGACCACAAATGAATTCCTTTTAAAAATATGTGTGCTATGGGCTGGGCACAGTGGCTCACACCTGTAATCCCAGCTACTTGGGAGGCTGAGGCAGGAGAATGGCATGAACCCGGGAGGCAGAGCTTCAGTGAGCTGAGATTGCACCACTGCACTCCAGCCTGGGCGACAGAGTGAGACTCTGTCTCAAAAAAAAAAAAAAAATATATATATATATATATATATATACACACACACACATATATACATATATACGTGTGTGTGTGTGTGTATATATGTGTATATATATATGTGTATATATATGTGTGTGTGTGTGTGTATATATATATATATATATATATATATATATGCGCTATGGCCAGGCATGGTGGCTCATGCCTGTAATCCCAGCACTTTGGGAGGCCAAGATGGGAGAATTGCTTAAGCCTAGGTGTTTGAGACTAGCCTGGGCAACAGAGTGAGACTTCATCTCTACAAAAGAAAAAAAAATTAACTGGCTGTACTGGCATGCACCTGTGGTCCTAGCTACTTGGAAGGCTGAGGTGGGAGGATCACTTGGGCCCAGGAGGTCGAGGCTGCAGTGAGCTGTGATCACACTACTGCACTCCAGCCTGGATGAGAGAGTGAGACCCTGTGTGTATGTGTGTGTAAATATATATATAGACAAGGATCACACTAATTAGAGACCAGGACATGTGTGTGTGTATATATATAAACACACACGCACTATGAGCTGCATTGTTTCCCCCATTCATGTGTTCAGTCCTACCCCCAGGGCCTCAGAAGGTGGCTGTATTTGGAGACAGGGCCTTTAAAGAGACTGGGCCCTAACCCATTACCTTAGACATACACAGAGGGAAGACCATGTAAAGACACAGAGAAGATGACTTTCCACAAGCCAAGAGCAAGACCTCAGAAGAAACTAACCCTGTTGACACCTTTATGTCAGACTTCTAGTCTCTAGACCTGTGAGACAATACATTTCTGTTGTTTAAGCCAGGAGTCTCCAACTCCCTGTCTATGGCCTGTTAGGAACTGGGCCACACAGCAGGAGGTGAGTAGTGGGCAAGCAAGCAAAGCTTCATCTGTATTTACAGCCCTCCCCATCGCTGTCATTCCTGCCTGAGCTTCACCTCCTGTCAGATCAGCAGCAGCATTAGATTCTCATAGGAGTGCAAACCCTATTGTGAATTGCACATGTAAGGGATCTAGGTTGTGGGCCCTTATGAGAATCCAATGCCTGATGACCTGTCACTGTCTCTCATCACCCCCACATGGGACCATCTAGTTGCAGAAAAACAAGCTCAGGGCTCACATTGATTCTACATTATGGTGGGTTGTATAATTATTTCCTTATATATTACAATGTAATAATAATAGAAATAAAGTACACAGTAAATATAATGGGCTTGAATCATCCCAAAACTATCTTCCTGCAGCCGCACCCTGGTCTATGGAAAAATGGTCTTCCACAAAACTGGTCCCTGTGCCAAAAAGGTTGGGGACCGCTGTCTTCAGCCACCCAGGCTGCTGTACTTTGTTATGGCAGCCCTAGAATACAAATACAATATGGTACACCTAAAATGATGATAATCCTGTATTGACATATACATATATTCAAACCATATTATTGAATTTTTTCTTTTCTCTTTTTTTTTTTTTTTTTTTGAGTCATATTCTCATCCTGTCACCCAGGCTGGAGTGTAGTGGTGCAATCTCAGCTCACAGCAACCTCTGCCTCCCAGGTTCAAGTGATTCTCCTGCCTCAGCCTACTGAGTAGCTTGGATTACAGGTGTGCACCACCACGCCTGGCTAATTTTTGTATTTTTAGTACAGACGGGGTTTCACCATGTTGGCCAGGCTGGCCTCAAACTCTTGACCTCAAGTGATTATTGAATTCTTAGAAATCAGGTTACCAAACATAGAATGATCTGGTTTTTATGAAATGCAACTATATGCATAAATATAGATAGATAGATGTCAATGTTTATGTCTAGAATTTTGTGTGACATTTTTTACTTTTTTCATTAAACTTGTCTGCATTGGCCCATTATTGTAATAAGCATGTGAGTGGATTGATTCTTGTGGGAATAAATATATAGAGCAAAGAAAAAATGTAGCTCAGGGCAGAACCTTGGGGAATGCTGACATTTGAGGGACAAAAGGTGGGAAGGGATGACAGCAACAAAGATGGATTAGTCAGAGAGGAGAAAAATCCAGAGTATAATTCCCAAGAAGCCAATAAAGGACAGGGTTTCAAAAGGAAGGGCGCTGAACCGTTTAAACACTCCAGAGAGGAGATCGGCTGCATGGAGGTCTGGCAGGAGAGTGCTGCGTTTGGAGACTGTGAGGGCGTGCTTCCTCCAAGAGAGTGGTCAAGTAGCAGGGAGGCCAATGTGCAAGGGTTTTTGGAAAGAATGGGGCATGAGGAAGGAGGGCAGGAAAGCCATAAATACTGAATAAAATTAGAGACCTTCAGGCATTGAAGCAGATTGTCATCTTCATACTAGGAATAGCCAGAATACAAACTCGAGGATGTTGAGATGACAGTTACCCTAGAAACCCTATTGAGAGAGTGGTACCCTGGCAACGGGTACCAAGCTGCTCCACTGCACTGTACTGAAGATGTGCTGGGACTCATTCTAGTGTAGTGTGTCAAGTCGCCTGTAGTCTTTGCTGAGTGGGAAAGACGTTTCTGTAAACCCGCGGCCTTGGTGGTGAAATCACTTAGCAGCTTCTACGTAACAACAAATTGACAGCAGCAACCAGCACAATTTGCTATTAGAAAGTTTCCGTAATGTGACAAGAAAGCATTTATAAATTCATTTGGCTACTAGGGAAAATGCTCTCTCATCTAGTTTCTCTACCACTTAGCCAGGTTCCCTTAGGATGAGGACACAGTAAAAACTAAATACTGCAAAGATTGAGAGGGAGGGGGAGGGTATGTGTTTAGAAAGTGTGCCAGGCACTGCTTGCTCTTCTTTTATCTTAGCCAGGGAGCCCTGGGATGGCATAGCATCAGTGTGTGTGTGTGTGTGTGTGTGTGTGTGTGTGTGTGTGTGTGTGATGGAGTCTTGCTCTGTTGCCTAGGCTGGAGTGCAGTGGCACGACCTCAGCTCACTGCAACCTCTGCCTTCCAGGTTCAAGCAATTTCCTGCCTCAGCTTCCCAAGTAATTGGGATTATGGGCACGTGCCACCATGCCCAGCTAATTTTTGCATTTTTTTTTTCTAGTGGAGATGGCATGTCTTGAACTCCTGGCCTCAAGTGATCCACCCACCTCGGCCTCCCAAAGTGCTGGGATTACAGGCGTGAGCCACCACACACACCTGGCCAGCATCAATATTTATATATATAGATGTGTATAGATCAATAGATAGAAGTATATATGTTACGTGTATGTGTATGTATATATAAAAATTTACCCATGCACAGTATTTATTTGAGTATCATGTGCTAAGCATACTTCACAGTTTACTTGAGTTATTTAATCTTTACATAATCCCAATTAGGTAGGTACTATCATTATCTTCTTTTTATAAATGAGCAAAAATTTTTAGAAGTTATGTGAGTTCCTCGAGATCACACAGCTACTTGCTTTAAAGTAATTTCCTTGGTACTACAGAGGGCACAAAGTAACTGTAGACATAATAACTCCCATTGAGGAACTGTCATGCTGGAAATACAAATTAGGCCCATATGGAGTTAACACTGCCTAAGAGCAGCGTGTAAATGCTGAGTTAGAGGGGCCAGGCATTCACTCCTGGCTGGCGCAACCAGAAGATTTCTAAAAGGAGGCAGTTTTAAAATTTCATTTTGAAGGTTGGGAATTCCTCTTATCATAAGATCAGAACAATGTCTATTTATTTCTTTCCTTTCTTTTTTTTTTTTTTTGAGACTGAGTCTCGCTCTGTTACCCAGGCTAGAGTGCGGTGGCACAATCACTGCTCACTGCAGCCTCTACCTTCAGGGCTCAGATGATTCTCCCACCTCAATCTCCTGAGTAGCTGGGACCACAGGTGCACACCGCCATGCCCAGCTAATGTTTAAATTATTTGTAGAGACAGGGTCTCCCTGTGCTTCTCAGGCTGGTCTTGAACTCCTGGGCTTAAGCTGTCCTCCCACCTTGGCCTCCCAAAGTGCTGAGATTACAGGTATGAGCCACCGCACCAGGCCCAATATCTATTTTGTCTACCTTTCTTTGTGTTACCTCAGCTCTTTTCAAGCTGTGCCTAAATACTAATACATCACTAGGTACATCAATAGAACCACCACCATCTTTTTACTCCTGACGTCTTTTATTTCCTTCGGGATCTGGACGTTTCTTAGCAATAGTAGACAGAGCAGGGGACATCCCCAGGTTTCAAAGCAGGCTTCAATCACTCGACAGCTCTGGCATGGAGAACCTGGCTATAGGGACTTCATTAAAGGACAATAGCCACTCTCCCTTTGACAGTTGTTTCTGAATGCCATGTGGACCAACTTCTAGCAGAGGCATCAAAAGCATGGTCTTAGGCAATCAGAATTTACCTTGGAGGCATTTCTGAACACAGCTCTGTCCCGTGATGGAGATGTTATTTGAATTTACCTTTAATTGTCGTGTATTAAATAAAATTCTAAAACTCTTTGTCTCTTTAAGGTTGAGAACTGAGGGATTGAGGGTTCAACTTCAGATCTGTGAGCGGGCAGTCCAGGCCCTGATTTGTCTGAGCATCCGTGGGAAGCCCCCTTGGACCTGGCTTTCTCCAGCACTCCCCGCACCCACAGTTGGCCCTGCTTCCTCCAACTCTCCCTCCAGTGGGCTGAGTTTCTCCACCAGAAGCAGAAAGTAATTCTTAAAATAAATTAGTTTTTAAAATGTTAAAAACACTTTTCACATTGCTCATAAGTAAATGTCTGTATTTCCATAATCTGAATGATCCCATCATCAGAAGGGAGGAGACATGTTTTTATGAAGATTCATTAAGCAAGGAGAAATTTCTGGATACCAGTAGTAAACAAGTCAAGTATACTGGGAAAAATTGGAGTCATTTATTCTTATCAAAGCCAAATTATTTCTTAAAAGCTCATGGTAGGTTGGGTGCGGTGGCTCACGCCTGTAATCCCAGCACTTTGGTAGGCCAAGATGGACAGATCACCTGACGTCAGGAGTTTGAGACCCACCTGGCCAATATGGCTAAACCCCATCTCTACTAAAAATACAAAACTTATCCGGGCATGGTGGCGTGTGTCTGTAGTCCCAGCTACTTGGGAGGCTGAGGCAGGAGAACCACTTGAACTCAGGAGGTGGAGGTTGCAGTGAGCCGAGATTGAGCCACTGCACTCCAGCCTGGGCAACAGAGCAAGACTCCATCTCAAAAAAAAAAAAAAAACAAAAAAAAAACAAAAGCAAAAACAAAACAAACAAACAAAACAAACAGACAAAAAAACCAAAAACACTCATGGTAGCTGGTTGAAACTAAGTGTACTGAAAGAATTCTCAACAACTGAAGAAAAGCTCTCAATAGACAAAAAATGGAAACATCTGATTGCAGTGTCAGAATTTTCCATTTTTATCCCGTAGAAAAGGTTAAAGACATTTTGACATTTCTTTCAAGTATATGGAGGACATGAAGAACTATCTCTTCTCCATTTCTCCAGAATAGGAGGAATGCAAAAAGAGATGCTGTCAAACCAAAATAGCTGAATCTTTCAACATTTCCTGTTATTCAATATTATTTTAAAATCTGGATACCTAAGTGCCATTCCTTCCCAGTTTAAAAATAGTGCTATTTTTATTGTTTCCTATGGAAACCATTTCCCTGGGCATGTCAACAGCCATATCTTAAGAGGGAATTATTTATTTTAGCCAGTTTTCCTCATTGAGCTTTGGATGACACAAACCCATATTTTATCCTAGTGGCTTCTTCAAGGCTAACCCCTGCCCACTCTTGGAGCAGCATCTACTGCTGCCATAACCACACTCCCAGCCTCTAAGCAGCCAAGGAAAATCATTCTGTTCCCCAGAGATCAGTTTGAGGAACTTCAGGTCCTCAGGGACTGATGGAAAATTACAGAATCTGTGACCAAATTGTGAGAAGTCTTCAAATCTGCTTAAAGGCAAATGTCAAATAAAGCAATGAGGCTGGGAAGACACAAGCATCACAAGACGCCTTCCGTACTTGCACAGGAGAGAAAGAATATTCCCTTCACATAATGCAGACTTCTGACAACATATTATTTTTCCTAGAAATTAAGAAATGGGAAACTTCTACTTCCACCTATGAACGGATAGCTTGTATTGGACTGACTCTCCCACAAAAAACGACCGTGAAGGCCAGGCATGGTGGCTCACGCCTGTAACCCGAGCACCCTGGGCGGCCGAGGTGGGAGGATTACTTGAGCTTAGGAGTTGAAGACCAGTCTGGGCAACCTGATGAAACCCCACCCCTACTAAAAATACAAAAATTAGCTGGGCATCGTGAGTGTACACCTGTAGTCCCAGCTACTTGGGAGGCTGAACAGTGGGAGGATGGCTTGAGCCCAGGAGGTAGGGGTCGCAGTCAAGATCATGCCCCTGCACTCTACCCTGGGCAACAAAGTGAAATCCTCTCTCAAAAAATTAAAAAAAAAAACCCCATAAGGGCAGGATAAAGCAGTCCCCCTAAGAAAAACAGCTCTAAACAACAGAGAGTAACAAAGCCACCAGGATTTAAAGGGCCAAGATACTGGAGAGAAATAAAATGCATTGAGGTAAGCCACCACTATTTGGTATAGATAATTTTCTGCAGAATAGAGGCCAAATAAATTAATAATACCTTGTGTTACAAGAGTCTTACTGGGCTGGGGAGAAAAGTAGAATTCATGACTATCAAATGATTTGAGGAACCAGGGTTCTAGAGAAGCGAGCCCTACATTCTCCGTGTAATGTTTCCTCAAGGAATTGCCCTATTTCTAAACTAAACATGCACAGTCCAAGAGGCAAGAAACCAAGAAACCACTCAACAAACTGCTTGTTAACCAGAGATTTTAGTAGTCTCATGGTCCTAGGAAGACAAAACTCAGAGTTCAGGACCTTCCAAAAAAGAGAATTCCTGGTAGGCACTTCAGGCCTTTAATTGAGAACCCCTAAAGGGCCACATCTGAAGAGTAAGGGCAAATAAGAGAAAAAATAGCCCTTACAAAACCCAAAACTCGGCTCCAATCAGCTCAATTTCTGATTTGATCAAGGTGATCTGCTGCCCAGATAAAACCGAATGCTCTCTGTAGTAAGGAAATCATCATTTAGTCCTTCTGTAGTTTTTATACGTAATGTCCAGCATTTAATCTGTAATTACCAGGCACACCAGAAAATATGACCAAAGACCAAAATACAACGGAGAGAGAGAGAGAGAGAAAAAAAATAAGACAATGGAAAGAGAAACACATTTGATCCAGATATTAAGTTTATCAGACTCAGACTTTAAAATAACTTATGGAAATAGTCATAAAATAGATTAAAATGTGGAGATTTTATTGAGAACTGGTATCTATTTTAAAACTTAAATGGGAATTCTATAGCTGAACAATATAATAACTGGATTGATAGCTCTAAACCTGAACTTGATGATAACTAAAAGCAGAAGAGAACATTAGCAAACTGGAAGATAGTTCAGTCCAAAAATCCGAATTGAAGCTCAGAGAAAAAGGATTCAAAAATAGAGAAAAGAGGTACATGAAACATGGTAGAAAGTTCTAATATATGTGCAATTAAAATTCCTAGAGAGGAGAGAGAATCTGGCAGAAACTATTTCCCAAAACTGACAAAAGACCTCAAGCCACAAATTCAAGAAGCTGTATTTCTCCTTCTTGCATTTTGTATTTGTGCATCTGAGCTGTATTTATATTCAAAAATCTCTAACCAAGATAAATACAAAAGTAAATCATACATAGATATGTCATTGTAAGACTGCTGAAAACTAAAGTTAAAGGAAATAAAATCTTCAGAATAAAAGAGAAAAAATATTATCCTCAAAGGCGCAACAATAAGACAATTCTGAGGTTAACATTGTATTTCTATATGTTAGAAAAGAATAGAAAATGAAATTTAAAAGACCATACCATTTATAATAAAAGCAAAAATCATCAAATAGGAATAAATTGAACAGAAGATGGGTAAAGTCTCCATACTGAACACTACAAAATATCCTGAAAATATTTGAAAAGATCTAAATAAATTTAAAAATATACCATGTTCATCAATTAGAAGACTCAATATTTTAAGGGTTAATTCTACTCAAATCCATCAGTAGATTCAATGCAGTCCCAATAAAAAAAATGGCTGCAGTTCACTGACAAATTGGAAATTGACAGATTGATTTTTAAATTATATGGAAATGCAAAGGGCCAAGAAAAGTTAAAACAATCTTGATCAACAAAAGAAGTTGCAAGATTTTTATTAGCAAATATCAAGTTTTATTGTAAAATGAAGTTAATATTAAGGTATCAGTGAAATGAAAACAAAATAGATCACCAGAATATAACACAAAGTTCAGAAAAAGGATGGTCTTTTCAATAAATGATAGTGGATCTACAGGCAAAGCTTGAAGATACTGTGGGTTTGGTTCCAGACCACTGCAATAAAGTGAACATCACAATAAAGTAAGTCACACAAATTTATTTGTTTCCCTGTGCATATAAAAATTATGTTTATACTATGTGGTAGTAGACTAGGTATGCAATAGTATTATTTAAAATAACAATGTACATGCCTTAATTAAAAAATACTTTATTGCTATAAATCACTAATGATCACCTCAGCTTTCATTGAGTTGTAATCTTTTTGCTGGTGGAGGGTATTGTCTTGATGTTGATGGTTGCTGACTGGTCAGGGTGGTGATTGCTGAAGGTTGGGGTAGCTTTGGTAATTTCTTAAGACAACAATGAAGTTTTTTGCATCAATTGATTTTTTTCTTTCACAAAAGATTTCTCTGTAGCAATGTGATACTGTTTGATGGCTTTTTACCCACAGTAGATCTCCTTCCAAAATTCAAGTCAGTCTTCTCAAACCTGCTGCTGCTTTATCAACTAAGTTTATGGAATATTCTAAATCCTTTGTGGTCATTTCAACAATGTTCACGACATCTTCACCAGAACCAGATTCCACCTCAAGGAACCACTTTCTTTGTTTATCTATAAGAAGCAACTCCTCATATGTGTAAGTTTTATGAGATTGCAGCAATATAGTCACATCTTCAGGCTCCACTTATAATTCTATTTCTTTTATTATTTCCACCACACTTGCAGTTCCTTCCTCCACTGAAGTCTTGAACCTCTCAAAGTCATCCATGAGGGTTGGAATCAACTTCTTCTAAACCCTTGTTAATGTTGACATTTTAACCATCTCCTACAAATCATGAATGTTGTTCATGGCATCTAGAATGGTGACTCCTTGCCAGAAGGTTTTCCCTTCCATAATTAAAAAATACCTTATTGCTATAAATCACTAATGATAATCTCAGCTTTTGTTGAGTTATAATCTTTTGGCTGTTTGTCCAGATCTGTCAGAGATCACTATCTATGGCAGGTATAGTCTTACTACTAAATGTATTTCTTAAATATTAAGACTTGAAAGTCAAATTTACTTCTTGATCTATAGACTGCAGCATGGATGTTGTGTTAGTAGTCATGAAAACAACATGAATCTCCTTGTACATCTCCATCAGAGTTCTTGGGTGACCAGGTGCATTATGAATAAGTAGTAATAGTTTGAAAAGAATCTTTTCTCTTAGCAGTAGGTCTCAACTGTGGGCTTAAAATATTCAGTAAACCATGACTAAAAACATATGTGCTGTCATTCAGGCTTTGTTGTTACATTCGTAGAGCACAGAGTAGAGTAGATGCATCATAGTTCTTAAGTGCCCTGGGATTCTTGGAATAGTAAATGAACATTGACTTAATTTAAAGTCACCAGGTGCATTAGCCCCTAACAAGAGAATCAGCCTGTTCTGTGAAGCTTTGAAGCCAGGCATTGACCCTTCTGTAGTTATGAAAGTCCTAAACAGCATCTTCTTCCAATGGAAGGCTGTTTTGACAACATTGTAAATTGTTGTTTTTCATAGTTACCTTCATCCATTATTTTACCTAGAGCTTCTGGATAACTTGCTGCAGCACCTTGCACTTTTATGTTATGGAGATGGCTTCTTCCCTTAATCCCCACGAGCCAATCTCTGCTAGCTTCAAACTTTTCTTTTGCAGCTTCCTCATCTCTCTCAGCCTTCATAGAATTGAAAAGAGTTAGGGTCTTGCTCTGTATTAAGCTTTGGCTTAAGGGAATGTTGTGGCTGGTTTGATCTTTGATCCAGACTTTCTCCATGGCAACAATAAGCCTATTTCACTTTCTCATCCTTCGTATGTTCACTAGAGTAACACTTTTCCTTCAAGAACTTTTCCTTTGCATTCACAACTTGGCTAATTGGCATAGAAGGCCTAGCTTTCAGCCTATCTTGGTTTTTGACATACCTTCCTCACTGAGCTTAACCATTTCTAGCTTTTGATTTAAAGTGAGAGACTCTTCTTTTCACTTGAACACTTAGAGGCCATTATAGGGTTATTAGTTGGCCTAATTTCAATATTGTGTGTCTCGGGGAATAGGGAAGCCTGAGGAGAGGGAGAGATATAGGGGAATGGCAGGTCAGTGAAGCAGTCCGAACACACACAACATTTATTAAGTTCCCCATCTTATATGGGTGTGATTCCTGGTGCCCCAAAACAATTACAATAGTAACATCAAAGATCTCCAATCACAGATCATCATAATAGTTATAATAATAATGAAAAAGTTTGAAATATTGTGAAAATTACCTAAATGTGACACAGAGACTTGAAGCGAGCACATATTGTTGAAAAAATGACACTGATAGACTTCCTTGACACAGAGTTGCCACAATACTTCAATTTATAAAAAATGCAACATCTGGCTGAGCACAGTGGCTCATGCCTGTAATACCAGCACTTTGAAAGGCTGAGGTGGACAGACTGCTTGAGCCCACTTTGGAAGATTGTTTGGCAAATATCTGCTATACACATACCCTATCACCCAGCAATTCTACCCTGAGGTATATACCCAACAGAAGTGCATCGAAAGACATGTACAAGAAGAATATTCACCGTAGTGCTATTCATAATAGCCCCAAACTGAAAATAACCAAATATTCATCAATAGTAGAATACATCAATAAATTGTGTAAAAGTCATGCAATGGACTTTTACTATTACTGTATAGCAATAAAAATGAACAAACTATTGGTAGTTATACAACATGGATGAATCTCACAAATCCTGTATTGAGTAAGAAAACCAGACACACACACACACACACACGCACACACACACAAAACCAAAACAGACACAGACACAAAAATAACACCTACTGCAATATTTCCTTTATATAAAGTTTAAAAACAAGGAAAAATCTACAGTGACAGCACTGAGAATTCTGGTTACCTTTGGAAGGGTTTGGACTGGGAAGAAGGCATGAGGGAGAACTCTGGGTGCAGTAGGGCTCCATAGCTTGATCTAGATGGGAGTGACTCAATTGTTTTTACTCTGTAAAGATTCACTGAACTAAGGATCTAAGACGTGTGCTTTTTTTTTTTTTTTTGAGATGGAGTTTCCCTCTTATTGCCCAGGCTGGAGTGCAATGGTGCGATCTCGGCTCGCTGCAACCTACATCTCCTGGGTTCAAGCAATTCTCCTGCCTCAGCCTCCCAAGTACCTGGGATTACAGGAGTGTGCCACCACACCCAGCTAATTTTGTATTTTTAGTACAGATGGGGTTTCACCATGTTGCTCAGGCTAGTCTCAAACTCCTGACCTCAAGCAATCCACCTGCCTTGACTTCCCAAAGTGCTAGGATTATAGGCGTGAGCCACCGTGCCATATATCTTTCTTGTATATATGTTATATTTTCATTTTAAGAGCATAAAATAAGAAGTGATTCCCAGTTCGAGTCTCTGCAAGCTCTTCTTCAAGGAGCTTGTCTCTACGTATACACTTTTGTTACTAGGTGTATGCTGATGGCTCTTAAATCTCTCCCCCTAACCCCTATCACTCTCGGTCCTTCCACAGACATCTGTACTTGCATGACCTATCAACATGGTGAAGGCGGAGTCTAAGACAGATACGCGTGAGTTAGGGGAGCCTCTCATTTCCTAGTAACTTCTCTGGCACCTCTCATTGCCTTATGTTCTCTACATTGTACTATCAAGTCCCGCAAGCCTTCCTTTCAAGCAGGTTTCTTTCTCCTTTCCATTACATCAGTCAAGGTTCAGAGGCAGCAGACAGAAGCCATTCCAATAATCTGAAGCACAGAGAGAAGTATACAGATAATTCAGGGCTTACAAAATCACTGGGAGGCTGGAGGATCTTTGCCTGGCTGACTGCCAGGAATGAACCCCATGCAAGACCACCAAACTGGATCTCCAGGGGAATTCTCCAATCAGGCAGGTGGGGTTCCAGAGGCTTCCACTGGAAGTGTTAAAACATATCCATCCCAGGCTGGGCATGGTGGCTCACGCCTGTAATCCTAACACTTTGGGAGGTTGAGGTGGGTGGATCACTTGAGGCCAGGAGTTCCAGACCAGCCTGGCCAACATGGCAAAACCCCGTCTCTACTAAAAATACAAAACAATTAGCTAGGTATGGTGTAATCCCAGCTACTCAGGAGGCTGAGGCATCAGAATCACTTGAGCCTGGGAGGCAGAGGTTACAGTGAGCTGAGATCACACCACTGCACTCCAGCCTGGGCAACATAGGGAAACTGTCTCAAAAACAACAAAAAACAAACCCCATCCTTGCTGCAATCCAGATATCAGGGAGCCACCCATACACCCATGAAGTCCCCCAAAATGCACACCACTAGTGACTGGACACTTGGGAATAAACCCAGTCTCTCTACCACCTGTCTGGCCAGCAGCAACAATCAAGGTGGAGAAGGGTGACCTGCCCTTGCCGCATGTCACTTTCCACATCCAAATCTCAGGAAAGCACATCTAATTGATAGAACTGAATTCACACACAGAACACTGGCTGCACAGGATTCCAGAGAAGCAGCCTTTAGTTTTCTGCCTCTGCAGGAGAGAAAGGCCTCTAGAAAGCGAGTGGAATAGTGGCTGAGGGTCAGTTCACCATATCCATGCATGCTCCTTTCATCTACCACAAGCCAATCTCTCACACCTGGAGCGGCAACTGAGTCATCCAGTGATAAGTAGGAAATATCTACTCAGTCTCTGCTGGGTACCTGGGATTGGGTTAGGTACTGGGACCACAGAGAAAGAGAGAGTTCCTGCCCTCAAGGAACTCTTGGTCTAGAAAGAGAGAGAAACCCAATAACCAGTGATCACAAGATGCCTTAGGGGAAGGACTGTGATAGAGATGTGTACTTTGAGAGTAAGGAGAGGCAGTCTTGTCTTAACCTGGGGGAACAAGGAGGCTTTACCAGAAGAGACCCAAACATATTTTGAAGTCTTTAATAATATCATTTCCTTTGTCTCAAATATCTCCCCATTCTACCTTTTACAGACTCTGTGAAAGAACTCACTTGTGAATCTTAGTAAATAAAGGTCAATTTAAGTTAGAGAAAATGGTCTAATAGATTTTTTTTACTCTCAATTGCATTTTAAACAAATTAAGCTAACAATTGGAAATCCTTAGATTGCCTTTGAAAATGAATAAGGATGTGTGTGTGTGTGTGTGTGTGTGTGTGTGTTCCATATCAGTTACCATAAGGTGGTGATTCTAAAGGACATGAGTGTTTGAAATGTCTGTTCATATGCCTATTATTTCACTCCTATTTTGTTTACACAATTGGTCTAGAATAAATTATACTATCCATTGAGGAAAGCATATTTTATGCTGCTCCTGTCCCGTTTAATTGGAATCCACATAATTTAGGTTTTACCTTTGCTAAATGTAACTAGAATCACGGTATAGGGAACATTAAAGTGTTGGGTATCTGGGATCCTTGTCCTTGCTTCATCATCATCTAGCTCTGAGACAGCAGATATATCCTTGATATACCTGTGCTGTTCTCATGATAGTGCATGAATCTCTCCAGATCTGATGGTTTTAAAAGCGGGAGTTTCCCTGCATAAACTCTCTCTCTTTGTCTGACGCCATCCATGTAAGATGTGACTTGCTCCTCCTTGCCTTCTGCCATGATTGTGAGGCCTCCTCAGCCATGTGGAACTGTAAGTCCATTAAACCCCTTTTTTCTTCCCAATCTCAGGTATGTCTTTATCAGCAGCATGAAAATGAACTAAGACAATCCCCTACCTGCCTAGGCAAGTCAACAGATTCTTACTGGGTGTCCATCTCATCAATGTGATTTCTTGTCTTCTGTCTTGTGATGGGTCTTTATTTGGACATGCCATTTGCAGTTTATGTATCCCATGTGCATAGGCTGAAGACTCCAGTGAGTGGCTGAGACATAGCCAGGGGCCTGAGACATGGCCGGTGTATCATTCTTATAACACTAACCCTTCCCTTAGGGGGCTGTGTAATTCCTTGGCTCAAAATGTGCCATTCCATTACTAATTGCTGCCAGCTGGATAAATGCTCCTTCTCTTATGTCTTATCAGGCTCCAGATCTATGCATTATTGAAACCCGAGTAATGCTCCTTGTCTTTAAAATAAGACTTACAGTGCCTTGAGACCAGCTTTCCTATAAAATTGATGCAGAGGTAACTGGCAATGGTGTCATCTGTACAGCATTGGACAAAGGGTAATAGCTAATATGACTCCAGGACCTAGTTCTGAGTAGGCAAAAGTGCAAAGCGGGCACATCTTGGAGAGGGGTGCAGTGTGGCACCTCAGGCTCTGGCAGGTGCAGTGTGGTTCCATTTGTTGCTGATCTCTGTTGCTGAAGACATTTCTTTTTAGGAAATGTGTATGGCTTTTTCACAAGGCACCTGTCCCAAGAGGTAAAGCCAGATCTCCTTTGGACCCTGTAAGCAGTCTCAGTCCCTGACCCTCCTAGAGAGGCAGCAGCACATCTCACCACTTGTCCTGAAGCCTTCATGGGCAGCCTTCCTGCCCCCCAATCTCTAAAGCACAGGGACCCCTGAGCCTCTTGGGGAAAGGCTGAAGGAAACTGGAAAGGAGGAGGGTATGCCACATTTTAAAACCTAAGTTTTCCTTGAGCCACTAAGGTCAAATGACAACTCTTAGTCTACTTATACATCTAGCAAAACAAGAATAGTTAATTTCATTTTCTTTTATCAATGACTGATCACATCAAGTTGAACAGACTAAACTTCCTTAATAATTCCCATTTACTTGTGGTTAATTAAATTCCCTCAAATATGTGAAACTGCAGTGATAAATGTAATATATTCCATTTTCCTTTGGACTGCTTCAAATGCCTATTCTAAAGAGCAAAGCCATTCCAAATCCTTAACAATGGTAATAAATGTAATACATTAAGCCTATAAATATAGTGACTCTTAAGCTCACTTAAACATTCTTCTATAAAATTAATTTTAAAAGATTTTTTTTGATATGGAGTCTCACTCTGTGGTCCAGGCTGAAGTGCAACTGTGCGATCTCAGCTCACTGCAATCTCTGCCTCCTGGGTTCAAGCGATTCTCCTGCCTCAGCCTCCTGAGTAGCTGGGATTGATTACAGGTGCGCACCACCACACCTGGCTAATTTTTGTATTTTTAGTAGAGAAGAGGTCTCACTATGTTGGCCAAGCTGGTCTCGAATTCCTGACCTCAAATGATCACCTCCCGTTGGCCTCCCAAACTGCTGGGATTACAGGCAGGAGCCACAGCGCCTGGTCTAATCAAATTTTAAACTCAATCTAAAATCATGTCTGAAATCAAAATGTGTAATTACTTAATTATGCATTTTAAGTGGAATCACAAGCAGGGCTGTCTTTGTTCTAATGTGCCCAATCCTCTTATTACGAACACTTAAAATCTACGTACACTCAGATTGTCTCAATGATTTCTTGAACTTTATACAAAGGTATAAATAGCATAGTTTGGTTTACTTCAGCATCTCCATTTCTAATTCTAAACTTTTATAGGGCTAGAACTACGGTTCACCCAATGGAAAGAACAATTTCATTATCCCCAAAAAACCTGGATTGTCTTCTCAAGGTGTTCAAATCACTTATTGGCCAGGCAGCCAAGTCCTACATGAGACTCCAGCTCTGAGCCTGCACTTGTCCCAGGCAACCCTACCTACAGCCAAAACTGACCAGTGTCAGGCACATCCCAATTGATTTTTGACAAAAATGTCAGGAGCACACAATGGGGAAAGGACAGTCTCTTCAATAAGTGGTGTTGGGAAAACTGGTTACCCACGTGCAGAAGAATGAAATTAGATCCTCATCTCACATCATATACAAAAACAAACTCAAAATGGTTTAAAGACTTCAATGTAACAAGTGAAACTGTAAAACTGCCAGAAGAAAACCTAGGAGAAAATCTCTATGACATTGGTCTGAGCAACGATTTTTTGGATATGACCCCAAAAACACAAGCAACAATAAACAAATAGGATTATATCAAACTAAAAAGCTAGGGCTGGGGGGAGGAGGGATTGGAGAGACGTTGGTCAAAGGATAAAAAATTCCAGGTAGACAGGAGGAATGTTCAAAAGATCTATTGTACATCATGGTAACTATAGTTAATAATAATATATTTTACACTTGAAAATTGCTAAGAGAGATTTTTAAGTGTTCTTAATACAAAAAATGCTAAGTATGTAAGGCAATGCACAAATTAAGTAGCTTGATTTAATCATTCCACAACATATACATATATCAGAAATATCATGTTGTATACCATATGTATATACAATTTTAATTTAAAAAGAATTTAAAAAGAATTCTAAAAAGTCTTGTGCTGAGGAAGTATGTTGACTCCAAGAAGCCCAGAGTGGTGGGGCAGTGAGAGGCACGTGCCTAGGATGTGGACAGATACTTCATTCAGCTGAACTCAGCTTCTCTGTTCTCTGTTTCTAAGACCTGCCCATGAACTGATCTCACTTGTTTCTCATTAAGGCACCTGGAATTAACTACAGCATGTCTGTTCTCTCCCAGCATTTGTATCGCTTCCTTAGTTCTGTCAGTTTCCAGAGCATTTTACTTCCTGTACTTACCTTCACCAGGCTCAGAACGCAGTACTGCAGGAGACTTGGCATTTGGACAGGAATGTGCAAGTTGTCCACCCGCTTTTTGTTTTGCTTTGTCTTTGTTTGAGACAGAGTCTCACTCTGTCACATAGGCTGGAATGTAATGGCATGATCATAGCTCACTGTAGCCTTAACCTCTTGGGCTCAAGCGATTCTCTGACCTTGGCCTCCTGAGTAGCTGGGACCACAGGCACTCACCATCATGCCCAGCCAATTGTATTTTTTGTAAAAACAGGTTTTCACCATGTTGTCCAGACTGATCTCAAACTCTTGGGCTCAAGCAATTCTCCTGCCTCAGCCCCACAAATTGCTGGGATTACAGGCACGAGCTACTGCGCCCGGCCTTTGGTTTTTGTTTTTGAAATGATGTCATGGGTTCAGGTTTTCTTTATGTAAAGAAAAAAAATTCAGATCAATGGTAAAAAACTACTACTGCTGCTAGTACT